>NC_000010.11:3191818-3343333 GCF_000001405.40 Homo sapiens
CACACCTGGCCTTTGCTTTACTTTTCATATATGTTTATTATATGTGCATGCTCTCTTAAAATACATGTATTTATTATTTTCCTTGATTTTCACCTTATCAAATAATAGCATATGTTGGGTAAATGTTTGGGACTTGCTCTCTCCACTTAATAGTATGATCCATTACTAAGATGAATTCACATCGTTGGATGCCAAACCAATAGTGTTGTTATTGGGTCATACGAATGTGAACAGAAAGCATATGTATTAGAATCAGTGAAATACAGCAGTTGAAAATCTTACCATATGTATTAGAAATCCCAGGTTCAGGGAGTAAACCAGGAGCAGGGTTTAACGTAACATAGGCATAATGAAATGAAATGAAAATAGTTTCTGTATAACTATTCCACAAGTGAATTTATAGATGGAATTTGGCTTTTTCTTTTTTTTTGAGACGGAGTCTTGCTCTGTCTCCCAGGCTGGAGTGCAGTGGCGCGATCTCGGCTCACTGCAAGCTCCGCCTCCCGGGTTTAGCCATTCTCCTGCCTCAGCCTCCCGAGTAGCTGGGACTACGGGCGCCCACCACCACGCCGGGCTAATTTTTTTGTGTTTTTTAGTAGAGACGGGGTTTCACTCTGTTAGCCAGGATGGTCTCGATCTCCTGACCTCGTGATCTGCCCGCCTCGGCCTCCCAAAGTGCTGGGATTACAGGCGTGAGCCACCGCGCCCGGCTGGCTTTGTTTTAAAAGGGGCAAATAAAGCCAGGTGCAGTGGTTCACACCTGTAATCTCAGCACTTTGGGAGGCTGAGGTGGGTAGAAAATAACTTCCTGGATGACAGTCATTTCCAGGTGGCTGAGGGACCCCCCCACAAAAGTCTCTCACTGCACTGAAAGGCTTCCTCTAAACTTGAGCTCAGCAGTTCAAAAGCAGCTCTGACTACATAGTGAGACCTCGTATCTACAGAAAATTAAAAAAGTTAGCTGGGTGTGGTGGTGCGCACGTGTGGTCCCAGCTGCTCTGGAAGCCACTTGAGTCCAGGAGGTAGAGGCTGCAATGAGCCATGATCGTACCACTGCACTCCAGCCTGGGCTACAGAGCAAGACCCAGTCTCAAAAATGGGGCAAATAATATATTTTTAAAATAATTGTATTTCATCTCACTGATAACAATAGTTTCCCCCTAAATAGAGTTGAATTCCCCAACTCTAGCAGTGTTATGACAGGATGCTGCCACTAGGTGGCTGCCTTTCTTCTAACTTTGACAATTTCCTTGGCAAGGGCTCTGCGTTGAGTAAATATGTCCTTCACATGGTTTATTTATTTTTACTAAAATTGCTTTCATGACAGTTATTCAAACTCACAACCAATTCATACTGCTAGGCTGGCATTTTAAACAGGAAGAGTGAAACAGAGCCACTGTCGCTGGAAAGGGATGGAACGTCACGGTGCGCTCTAAAAGGACAGGGGGCTTGTGCGGTGCCCTGTTGTAAATAATTTGTAAAGAAATGCGCGGCGCCCCTGTTGGGAATTGGAGCTCTGGGCGTGGCGTCTGGAGTGGGTGTGTGCTGCTTTTGCTTCCGAGACATTCATTCATATTTCCCCTCTTCGTTTCACTCGGCGCGAGCCCTCCTTCCTCTGCCTCCTGCCCCAGACAATAGCTCTCCATTCATAGCACGTGGCCTGGACTCACCTCTGAGCTGGAGGCCTGGCCCATCAGAGCGTTTCCCTGCCTCAGGCTACAGTGATTGGATAAGGAATGAACAAATGACTAAGTCAGCAAAAACTCAATTCTAGAATTTTGGGGGACTCTTAGGAAAGTTACTTTTATTTTTCACTTGGGTTTCTGAGAGACAGACTAAGCCTCCCCGAAATGAAGCCGTGGAAAGCCAGGCAGGGCAGGAGAGGGAAGGACGATGGTCCCATGCTCTGCACCCTCTACTCACCCTGCCTTACGCCATCTTTACTCCTGGATTTTCCAGTTTTATAGCTTTAAGCTGGTTTCTTTCACTTGCTGCCCAAACTCCTGAAGATATAAAGTCAAAAGGCAAATGCCATTTGACTGGACTACCTTCTAGCTATAGTTTTGACAAACCACTTTTTGTGTAGAAGGGCTACCCCTCCAGTAACCTTCCCTCACTTTGTAGTTTTCGGGTGCCTGGTGTGTCCTGGGTAAGAGAAGAGTGACAGCAGCTGGTTTGAATGACGCTTTCTTAGTGGACGCCATGGACATGGTGTCCATGAGCACCACAGAGTAAACTAAGGGACCTCTCATGTCCACCCAAAGGTGTGTTACTGCACAGAGGTTTATGCAATGCGGCTTTGCATCACCAGACAACCCCGAACTCCATAAATAGCAGCGAGACACGTCAAGAGAAAGGGGAGTAGGGAAGCCGAAAATATGTCCTTTACATGTGGAGAAACATGGCTTCTGGGGTCACCTGTCTGTGTCTCCCTCACTTTAACTCCTGGCAGTTGATGGACATTGGAAAGCCACCATCTGCCTTCCAATTTCCAGGGAACAGGAATCTTGTTTCCACCCACACAATGCATTGCCAATGTTTAGTATTGAGAGATAAAGCCTTATTAGGAAACAAGAGAAGTTTAAAAATAAAGAAAAAAGAGAAAAACGAAAATATCTTCTGAATATCTATAGTTCAGTTTAACACGAATTCAAAATAATATGCAACGAATTCATGATATTGAGATTTTCAAGTATCCTGGCTGGGCACGGCGGCTCATGCCTGTAGTCCCAGCACTTTGAAAGGCTGAGGCAGGCAGATTGCTTCTGCTCAGGGGTCTGAGACGAGTTTGGACAACAGAGCGAAACCCTGTCTCTACAAAAAATACAAAACATTAGCTGGGTGTGGTGGCACATGCCTGTGGTCCCAGCTACTCGGGAGGCTGAGACGGGAAGATGGATTGAAGCCGGGAGCTCAAGGCTGCTCTGCGCCACTGCACTCCAGCCTCGGTGGCAGAGCAAGGCTCCGTCTTAAAAAAAAATTCTGTTCAGGGAAACAGGGAACAATGAACTGATTAACTCCACTTCTACCCTCTTACTGTTTTTTCTATTTGTCCTCACTGAAATTTGTTACTCTGTCCTCTGACTGGAGGCCCTGGTGGCTCCTGGGCTGGGCTGGGGCCCCCTGTGTGCACAGACCCCTTTGGGAAATGGAGTGGAAACCTGAGAGTTTGTGTCCTGAAGAGTCAGATGGAAGCTCAGGAGCCAGCAGACACTGAGCACCTGTCTTTGTCACCACACAGGGCTCTGCCCATCACAGGAGACACTCAGGGGCTCAGGTTCCAGAACTTTCCCCCGCTGGCCTCAGGCCGGGGGAGCAGCTCCCCTTCACCCATCGAGAAGGCCTGTGCAGGCTCTAGTGTCCGGGAGAAGGGCCATGTCTGCCTCACTTCCATCTTCCCAGGAGGTCCTTCTGAAAAAAATGTCACTATCACCCCTGTTTCTATTTCAGCTTCCCGTTGTTTTTCTCAGTTCATTGGAATACGGGCCTAGAATTTCCATCTCAGCATGGTCTCTCTCGTATTCTCCCACTTGCTGGCGGTCTTCCAAGAGCCATCCCAGCAAACGCTGGGGCATTTTTGTCCAGTTATGCCACCAGCCCACCACGGGGACCGAGCCTGGACCTTTGGATCAGAGCTTTATTGGTGAGGCCAACGCAGAGGTGGGTGATTCATCATGGATTACCAGGGTGGGCTTTGGAGCCAGGGCCCTGGGTGTAAGTTCAGCTCTACTTCTTAAAGCTGTAGGACCCGGGCAGGTCCCTTGGGGGCCCTGTGACTCTGTTTCTTCTTCTACAAAACGACAATGTTCACGGAAGAGCTCCTGGCTCAAGCGTTATCAAGATTCATGAGTACATACAGGTAAAGCACCCAGCACAGAGTATCATATAAATGCTTGTTGCTATGAATATCATCCTATTCCCTGGTGGTGTTTGGGGAACCTCTTTTCCCTTCTCTCCCGGGTAGATTCGCCTGCAGTGAGTGGGAGTTCTGTGGCTCCTGGGGTCATCGGCTGAGTCCCTCTCCGGCTTCTCCTTCCTGACTGTGAATTGCTGTGTGGCCACGCTTGGGTGTGTCTCTCTCCATTCTCTGTTGCTCGTGGCAGCTGTCGCTTTGGAGTCATGATTCCAGTTGGAACTGAGAAGCAAATACTGCCCACCTGGCCATGGACACTGGCTGCCCGTTCAGAAGCTGTCCAGCCACCAGCAGCTGCCCTCTGAACGACTGCCTTCTAGAATGTCTAGTTTGCCAAACATCAATTTGTTAAAATTACAGGTTTATTGTTTCTTTGAAACCAACTTACCCCACATCAGGCCACAAACTGAATATGTAATTCCAGGGTACTGAGCCTGGCTGGTGTTGACGCTGCTTCACTTTCTTGTTTTCTTTTTTCTTTTCTTTTTCTTTTTCTTTTTTTTTTTTTTGAGATGGAGTCTCACTCTGTCACCCAGGCTGGAGTGCAGTGGCACGATCTCAGCTCACTGCAGCCTCTGCCTCCCAGGGTTCAAGCAATTCTCATGCCTCAGCCTCCCAAGTAGCTGGGACTACAGGCGCCCGCCACCACATTCGGCCAAGTTTTGTATTTTTAGCAGAGATGGGGTTTCACCATGTTGGCCAGGGTGGTCTTGAACTCCTGACCTCAGGTGATCCGCCCATCTCGGTCTCCCAAAGTGCTGGGATTACTGGTGTGAACCACTGCGCCCGGCCAACATTTCACTTTCTAAAGCCACATTTTTAAGGTACGCAGCCCACGCTTCATGCCGGGCCTGGGAGGGGGTTCCTGGTTGTAAACCTGTCTCTGACCTCCCAGCTGGCTCAGAGATGTCCCCAACCCAGAGTCCAGAGGACAGCCCACTTTGGGGAGGAAGCTCGCTTGGGGTCCTGGGTGTAAAGCCAGCCAAAGCAACACCACATTTCTGGCCTTGGCTGGAAAAGGGCAGCTGAGAGCATCACCCCTGTCTGCCGGCCACGGTCTTCTCTCTCCTCTCAGAAACGGGTCTTGGATCTCTTCAGATCGTGTGTCCATCAGGCTAGACTGGGAACCAGTTTTCAGTTGTAGCCTTTCTAAAGAGGCGTCACTATTGTTTCTGTTTCTATTTCAGCTTTCTATCACGTTCCCTCAGTCCAGGGAGACCTGGGCATGGAATTCCCATCTCAGCTCGGCCTCTGCCGTGGTCTGCAACTTGCTGGCGGTCTCCCAAGAGTCATCCCAGCAAACGTGGGGGCTCTTTTGTCCTGTTATGTGAATGGCCACCACGGGGAACATTCCCGCCCACTGGGGCCTGTGGGGGCTGTGTTCACCCCGGGGTGGGGAGGGGGGTCTGGCCCTGCAGGTGGGTCCTCAGGCCCCAGGCAGGGGTGTCCTTGGATGAGCTGTCCTGCTGGGGGGCCATGCAGAGCTGCCGAGGAGAAGGAACAGGCAATGAGGCCGAGGCCAGGGGCGTCCCCTCGCTTCCTTCCAAGGCTTCCTTCCGGGACCTCTCATCTTGGAGGCTGCTTTTTCTTTTGGTTCATTTCATCTGGATTTTACCAAGGAGAAAAATGCACTGGGGGAAGCAAGGAGTTACAGGCCGAGGGCTGAGTGGTTTGCTTTAGTCCTGCACACCCCAGACACCCCGGCCGCTTTCCCAGCAGTCCAGGAATTAATTCCAGGAATGCTCTGCGTCCCAGCCTCCTGCAGCGGGACTCTCTGTCCGCTGCTTCCAGCCGAAGGCCACCGGAGGGCAGCAGAGGCCTGGCTGAACCGGGCCGGGCGCTGCCGAGACTCTGGGAACGTCTCCCACTCAGTCTCCCTCGTTCTACAGCTGGTAGCAGGCAGGTGCTGCTGGTTCCTTCCATCAGGAGGGAGTGACCGCTGACCATTGCGTTACCACATGGAGCAGCGAAAGGAGACGTCCCCATCAGGTCTTCCAGCAACGGCAGCTCAGAATTTTCACTGGGATCTCTCAAAAATGCATTCATTTAAGGGATAGCTGTCTGTTTGTGGATTTCTTAGGGTTGAGTCATTACACGAGGCTTATCAGGGACAGGGATCAGTGCTTCGGTGTCACTGGTGAAAAGAAGCTCATAAAACAACTTTCGGGATTAGCTCATTCGCCAGTGATTGCGACTGTGGCAAACCACACTGCCCCCAGCACGGCGGGTGTCAATTATGTGACACAGACTCTAAAACGAGGTGATGTTAAAGAGGCTTCATAAAATTGTCTTGTATACAACTCCCAGAATATTACTTAGGAATATAGTTCCACTGAGTGCAAATGCAGTCAATATTTATTTGAAAATGTGAAAATCTAGCCAATTGGATATATGCAGGTGATTGAGATAATTCAAACTTTAATGTCTTTTTGAATATTGCATTCTCTTGTTTATTCTTTGGCATTTAAACCAGTCTGAAGCTCAGCTGATTCTCATGATTTAGGATTGGAATGCCCAGTGTTTCAGGTGAATCGTGTTTAGGGCTAATTTGGGCTCTGAGAAGGGCCCATTCGTTACTTAAGAAGTGCTTGGTTGTCTTAGCCAGCTCGGGCCGTGACAAAATACCGAAGACTGAGTGACTTCAGCAGCAAACAGGGATTCCTCACAGTTCTGGAGACTGAAGTCTAAGGTCAAGGCACCGGCAGATTCACTTGCTGATGAGGGCCTTTTCCTGGTTGAGAGAGGGCACCTTCTCACTGTATCCTCACATGGGGGTGGGGGAGAGAGAGAGAGGAGAGACAGAGAGAGGAGAGGGAGAGAGAGAGAGCTCTGCCCCCTTCCTCTTCTTTTTACAGCGCTGGTCCCATCGTGGGGCCCCAAGTCATAGCTTCATCCAACCCTCATTGTCTCCCCAAGTTCCTGCCTCTAAATACTGCCATATGAGGGGCTTGGGCTTTGACATGAATTTTTGGGGTGAACACAAGCATTCAATGCATGCCCAAGGGGACACTGGTGGTCATGTGATGGCCGAATTGTGTCTCCCAGGAAATCCTACATGGAAGCCCCAACCCCTGGGACCTCAGATTATGACTGTATTTGGAGATAGGGTCTTTAAAGAGGTAATTAATGTAAAATGAGGCCATCAGGGTAGTCTCTAAACCACAGGGTTGATGTCCTGATAAGAGGAGGAGATTCGGATGCAGGTGCACACAGAGGGACGACCCTGTGAGGACACAGGGAGAAGACGCCGTCTGCAAGCCATGGAGAGGACTCAGGATGAACTGGCCCTGCCCACACCATCATCTCAGACTTGCAGCCTCTAGGACTGTGAGAAATACCTTGCTGGGAGTTAAACCCCCAGTCTGTGGTGCTTTGTGGCGACAGCCCTCGTGCACAGAGACACCAGGCTGGGGAAGCGTGGCTCAGCCTTGAAGAAGCAGCAGAGAGATCACACAGATGGAGACAGATGTGGGGAAGGGATCCAGCCACTGGCCTCAGCTTTTCTGCACCCCCTTAGCTCCTGCTGACCTGGAGGTCTCTCCCAGCCTGGGTTTAGTTTTAGTAGAAATCGGGGCAGCTTTCTCACACATTCAGGCAGAACAAACACAGAACAGACGGTCACGTGCACGGATGTCATGGGGCAAACTGAAGCACAAACACACACGGGCCTCACCTGCCCAGCGCAGCCCCAGGGTCCCCAGTCTGGTTAGGGTCCCTGGCTGGTTAGGGTCCCTAGCTGCTTAGGGTCTCCTCCACTGTCAGGGCAGGTGAGGCCCATTTGTGTGTCTGGGCCGGGACCAGAGTGAGAATTCAGGTTGTGGTGTCAGCAGGCGAACAGGGAGGTGAGGAGGGCAGCTTGCAGGGACCAGCAGGTAAGGCAGAAGAGGAACTTCAGACACAGAGAAGTAAATGAGGAAGCAAATCGCAGCACACAGAGGCATCTGCGGGGCTCGTTTCTGGAAGGCTGAGGATGGAGGAGTATGTGTGTGGTCTCAACCATGCGTCAGGAAACCCACTGAGTCAAAGCTGCTCGCCCTGGCTCAGGTGCTGCTGGCTGCTCCTGGCTGCCTTACAGCCTTCTAAGAGCCCGCTGGAAACTCTCCAGACCTGGCGGCAAGCAGGTCCCTAGGTGTCAGGACTCATGGCTGCAGGCTTATTCCCTAGGCTCAAGGCCACCATCCTGCGAATGAGGCAAACGATTGGAGCCCTGTCCCATCTGATCATAACTGATGCTTGCAAGTCTTATAAAACAAGTAAAAACTGAGCACTTACTGTGTGCCGGGTGGTCTGTTTGGGGTTGAAAGCATCCACATGAACAAGACATCCTTCATCAGCCAGAAGGGTGGATTCTTTTGGAGGGAAGGGGTGCCAGGTAGCTGGTTGTGCAGGGGATCCTTGTAGATGGCCAAGACATAAAGCCCACCTTTCCAGGAAGCCAGACGCATTGCTCCTGGCGTAGTGCTCGGCCCAGCTGTCGAACTTGCCCTGCTCATTACTGAGGACTCTGACTATATTGGTCTGCTCTCACGCTGCTAATAAAGACATACTGGAGACTGGGTAATTTATAAAGGAAAGAGCTTTAATGGACTCGCAATTCCACAGGGCTGGGGCGGCCTCAAAATCATGGTGGAAGAGCAAGGGACGTCTTACATGGCAGCAGGCAAGAGAGAGCTTGTGTAGGGGAACTCCCCTTTATAAAACCATCAGATCTCATGAGACTCACTCACGATCAAGAGAACAGCACAGAAAAAAAACCCACCCCCATGATTCAATTACCTCCCACTGGGTTCCTCCCATGACGCATGGGAATCGTGGGAGCTACAGTTCAAGATGAGATTTGGGTGGGGACAGAGCCAAACCCTATCACTGACCTGGGGAGGGCTTTCCTATGAGGCACTTAGCCCTGCCTGTGAACTTGCCACTTTCCCTGCCTGTTTAACCTCACTGGATTGAGAGTTCCTTAAAGTTTGAGATGAACTCTGTCTGGTTCACTTCTTCTAGCGCCTGGCACGGGATAGATGACCCCCTCATATTTGTTAAAGAATGAAAGAGAGATTTCAAGAACTTTGTTAACTCAAAATCACACAACCTACACATTTAGAAAGGAAACTACCTTCCAAAGGGTTACAGGCTGCAAGGTGGCCATCCCAACAGGCTGGGAAGCATTGCCCAGCCTGGAGCCTGGGAGGCAGTCACCTGCGAGGGAGAGGAGAATGGAACAGGGGTCCATGCTGAATGGATTGGCCAAGCATGCATATTCAACAGATTATAGGAGCAGCTATGAATATTCATGAAGGGGGCTGGCACATGCATAATGCACAAACATGCCTGTTACATATGACCCAAGTTCACCTTGGGGTGTAAACCCAACATTTAAATGAGTTACAGTTGGGCCATATACATCAAATGTTCTTTTCAGGACACAGAGGCACTCAAGTGCTCAGCCTCTGTAAAGCAGCTGGAACCAGTCCATGCTTGGGGGTCTTTTAATTAGGAGAAAGTTACTGAAATCAGTCTCTGGCCTAATCAAAGCTGTAGTGGTGGCTGCTGGAATGGGGTTCCGTTGGGCGGTGTCTGATGGTTGGTGAGCTCTAACTGCTGCGACATTGCTCATCTCGGGGCCAGGGCTTATTTAGCTGCCAGAGAAAAAGAAACACCTTATGAGAGTTAGAACACAGTTTATTCTTTAAGTGTGGGGTGTGTGACTTAACCCTTGCCTGGTACTGCCTTAGGGTCTGTGTAAAATTTGGTATTATATTGCCACAGAGTTCCCTCTGTCAGTCTTGTGGTCTCTGTTCTAACGTAAATGCTGGTCAGTTGTGCCTAAACCCCAAAAGAGTGGGGTGTAATGAGGCTTGAGGGACTTAGAATTTTCCTTTTGGCTTACACTTCCCTAGTGTGAATGTGGGAGCATGTGGCGGGCACTGGGGACCGTGGGGTCCTGGGTTGGGCCTGGAGGGAAGTTCACGGTGATGCTGAGTGAGGATGAGCAGCTCTGGGATGGAATGCGACACGCTGAGCCATGCCATGTGCAACGTGTTTGCGTTGAGAAGCCAGAAGAAGTTTAGGGATTTTCTCTTTGCTGTGACCTGCAGTCCCTTTACTTCTTCAGCGGGACTTTCTTTCTGAGGGGCTGGGGGAGGGTGACTGCCTTTGAGAACTGGTGTCAGAGGGAGGCGCAGAGCAGGCGGGTCAGTGGCTGCAGACTTGGGGTCTAAAGGCAGGCGTCCCCATCATGATTTGCATGACAGGCAAATACCTGGAGCCCCCACAGCCGGGCAACACTAGAATCACTGGGCCATGAAGATCAGGTCACAGGGAACAGCTCAGTCTGAGTTCTCTACTGGAATTTTCCAGCACAACTTGGAAGTCAGAGCTGTGCTGGGATCCCAGCGACTGGGGGAGGCAAATTCGGGTCAGGGGAGGGAGGGCGGGGGCCATGAGGGAGACACAGCATCCCAGAAACATTCGAATAAACAAAGAACCGGAAAATCAGAGCAGCAGCAGGTGAGAAGGAACCCAAGGGTGGGCGGGCTGTTGCTGGACGCCAGCCTGATCTGTGGCACGGTTTGCAGCGAGGTACACAGGGATGAGCTGCCCTGGTGGGTGTGCCCACCTCTCACACTTGAATAACATTTTACATTTCATTCATTCATTCATTGGTTCATTAGTTCAATAGATTGTTTTTCTTTAATGAAAGCCTTTTGTTTCTGGGAACTTTCTCTGCTTGCCTCAAGAATGTTCTGCTTGAAGATGTTTATGCTTTAGAATGTTTGTTTGTTGGCTTACTTATTTATCTTTTGAGGCAAGTTCTCCCTCTGTCGCTCAGGCTGGAGTGCAGTGGTGTGATCTCAGCTCACTGCAACCACTGCCTCCTGGGCTCCAGCCATTCTCTTGTCTCAGCCTCCGGAGTAGCTGAGACTACAGGCATGTGACACCATGCCCAACTAATTTTTGTATTTTTAGTAGAGAAGGGGTTTCACCATGTTGGCCAGGCTGGCCTCGAACTCCTGGACTCAAGTGATCCTTCCCTCTCAGCCTCCCAAAGTGCTGGGATTATAGGCATGAGTCACCGTGCCCGGCCTAGAATGCTTTTTTTAAAAATTTAATTGTATTTAATTAAAAAATATTTTTATTTTAGATTCAGGAGGTCCACGCACAGGTTTGTTTCCTAGGTCTATTTTGTGATGCTGAGGTTTGGGTTTCTGTTGATCCCATCACTTACACAGTGAGCACGGTACCCAATGGGAAGTCTCTCCATCCTGGCTGCGACCTCTCTCCTTTCTCTTGGAGTCCTCAGTGTCTACTGTTGCCCTCTGTATGTCCTGTGCACCCAGTGTTTAGCTCCACTTATACATGAGAACATGGGATACTTGGTTTTCTGTTTCTGTGTTAATTCATTCCATAAACATTTATTTAGGGCATGGAATGGGACCAGGCCATGTGCTAAGCTCTGAAAATACAGACATAAATAAGTCAGTTTCTTCCCTGAAGTAGCTTTCATTCCAGCAGGAGAGCAAGAGTCGCTTTGTAAAAAGGTGATAATCACTGGGAAACTGTGACTGCTGCTGCATTAGTCTGCATGTCAAGTGCTGTGAAAGCCCAGAGAAGGTTGTGATTAATATAGAGAAAAGAACTCAAAGCTGAATCTCCTAGAGAAAGCGCGTGTGCTCATGAACCTCCTGGTTGTGACGATGGCTGTCATTCACACAGCCATGGCAATACCTGCACGCTGCTTCATAGAAAGCCACCTCTACACTGTTCTCCATAAAAAGCCAGGAGTGGCCTTGTGTTAGAGAGCAGCAGAGCAAGCATTGCAGAGTGCATTACCATTTGCCAAGCTTCTCAATGTCCTGAATAGATCCCTCATGGAATTCATATTTAACTGGTACACAACGAGCTTTCAACCCATATGTGAATAAAGTGTCTGATGCGTAAGCACAGATGAGCCGACACATTGCTTTTGAAAATATTTGCCAGGAAGTCTGACATGCAATAATGCCCTGCTCTTCAAAAGATCGCAAGCAAGAAGCCCAAGTGACGACCTCGATCCTTGCAGATAATTAGGTGACATCCACATGGTCCCTGAAGGAGGCAAGAGCCCTGGTGTGGCACATTTCCAAGCTTCACGGAAGACACACAGTGGCCAACCTCTCTGTGTCCCGAAGACTCTGTCTATTTTCGGTTTTGTTTTGTTTTGTTTTTCCCTTTAATTCCTGTCACCTAGGTAGGTACCATTTCTCAGGATCACTACTAAAAAGTCTGCAAAGTAAAAAGATACAAGAGCTGAATATCTTTTAGATTCCTTCCTTTCTAAAAATTCTTCATTGTTCTATGTCCCACGTTAGGTCTGATAAAGAGAATGTTTCTTTCTCATAATAAGAATAGAGTATGGAAGCCTCTGACCACATTAAAAACCCTGAGAAGATACAACCGCAGGATTGATAGCAGAAGTCAGCTGTGATTAGCAGAGCAGTAATTAAAGAAGATAAACAGAGTGAACAACGCTGTTTGCAGGGCAGCCCAGTCCGACTTACAGAACCTCCAGGAAGGCAGGGATTATCTGTCTTATTTTCTCTCTGCTAATAAAAGATTTTTCTTTGTCCTTCTGGCCCATAAAAAGAACATTAAGAATCCAAATGCAGCAAATTATAAAATAATATCCTTGGAGATGCTGAGACAATATATTTATTGAGTTTTATTAAAAATAAATATATCATTAAATGAGACTACTACTATAGTCTTAAAAACACACAAAGTCCTAATCTCTCTCAGGATCCAGGCATGTACATTGTACTAGAATATTATTTATGATCACGCTTACTTAGGTTGGGAGAAATATTTTTTTCTTTTTTTTTCTTTTTTTTCGATACAGAGTCTCGCTCTGTCACCCAAGCTGGAGTGCAGTGGTGCAATCTCGGTTCATTGTAACCTCTGCCTCCTGGGTTCAAGCAATTCTCCTGCCTCAGCCTCCTGAGCAGCTGGGACTACAGGTGCCTGCCACCATGCCTGGCTACTTTTTGTATTTTTTAGTAGAGACAGGGTTCCACCATGTTGGCCAGGTTGGTCTTGAACTCCTGACCTTGTGATCCACCTGCCTCAGCCTCCCAAAGTGCTGGGATTACAGGCATGAGCCACTGCGCCCGGCTGGGAGAACTGTTTTCAAAACTCCTGCTAGTTAATGACCCAACTGTCCCCCACAAGCTTTTTGGCTTTCAACCTGAGACTATCTTAAGGATATAAATAGAGGACTGAAAACTTCATGGCCATGCAGATTTGGCTGCAGAAAGCCAAAGCCAAAGGAGGCATAGACCTATTTCCTGGGACACCAACATGTTCCAACGTCCAATCGATGTTGTGAGCGATATAGCATGAACCACGGCGGCTGCGGCCAATATTTCAATAGTAGTGCATTTTGCTCACGGATAGAATTCTTAACAGGAGGTGGTTCTAATACCCCCAAGACAGTGTTGGGAGTGAAGATAAACACATAAGTAGCAATCACCTTATTGTAATCTATTGCTAGTCCACACAAACGCCTTAGAAAAAAATTTCCAAACGTTTTTGTGGGGGGTTATAATGTATTTACCCAAATTGTTCCCATGTGGAAATCTTGAGAATCATTCAAGCTTCAGTTGCTTTTAAACTTCCTAACCCGAGCTGCAAATTTTTCTTGCACGTATATATACATATACATATACATATACATATACATATACATATACATATATATACACATATACATATACATATACATCTATATATACATATAGATATAGATTTATATAGATCTATATGTATATATATAAATATATATATAAATGTACAATTATTTTTTTCTGAGAAGAGGGTCAAATAGGTTTAATCACATTATTTTTTTTTTTTTATCAAAAACCAGTGCTCTAAGGACCCACTAGGGTGTGTGACCAACAATAGGGGATTCCGGTGGGAATTTCAGACAATGAGAGAAAAACAAACTTCCCAAGTAGATTGCAACTCATCCCAGGCAAACAACAGCAAGGATGCCTAGGGCAGCAGCGGCAGCCCCAAACGATGTTCACCTGCAGGTTGTTGGAGTCCTGGGAAGGTGTTAGCGGTGTTTGTTAGAAGCACTTCCCTGCCCTGGAAACCTTGTTGTTTGTTGGAGAGGCACTGAAGAGCAGGTCCATATGCACAGGGCACTGCCACCGATCAAAGGCACGGGCGGAGAGGATGAGCACGCTCTCCAGGTCACAGGACACTGCACTGCCACCGACCAAAGGCACGGGAGGAGAGGATGAGCACGCTCTCCAGGTCACAGGGCACTGCACTGCCACCGACCAAAGGCATGGGAGGAGAGGATGAGCACGCTCTCCAGGTCACAGGGCACTGCACTGCCACCGACCAAAGGCACGGGAGGAGAGGATGAGCACGCTCTCCAGGTCACAGGGCACTGCACTGCCACCGACCAAAGGCACGGGCGGAGAGGATGAGCACGCTCTCCAGGTCACAGGACACTGCACTGCCACCGACCAAAGGCACAGGAGGAGAGGATGAGCACGCTCTCCAGGTCACAGGGCACTGCACTGCCACCGACCAAAGGCATGGGCGGAGAGGATGAGCACGCTCTCCAGGTCACAGGGCACTGCACTGCCACCGACCAAAGGCACGGGAGGAGAGGATGAGCTCTCCAGGTGGGCCCTTTCTTCAGAAATTCCAGCACAAGGAAATCCAGCTATTCCTCCCTAAGACAGATGTTGATCGACTCTTTACTGCTTTCAACTCTGGGGTCATGTTCTACTAAAAGTTTTATGAAAACAACAAAGAAAATATTAGAACTCCTTTGAGAGAAAAAAAGGAATGTACAAGCCAAGGATGAATGAGGGGTGAGAGAGGCTCACTGCAGAAGAAAAAAGACTCTAGAAGAAGTATTTCATAAATCCCCCGTGGATCATAAATCCACATCTGTGTGGCTACCATATGTGTCAGGGATGAAATAGAAGCTGGTTCTTTGACTCCTGTCTTGCATATGGGATTATGCAATGGATGTATTGTTTTGCCCCTAACATTCTGGGCACATGTTACTGGTGGTGTTTGATACAATGTCCAGTTAAACAAGTTTGTTTTCTGCTGTGATGCTAGTGGGCGGGTGGAGGGAGGCGGTCATGGCAATCAACCAATGGGTAGTCTCGTCCAGAACAGTTGCTCTGCGAGCTATGATGGGGTTACGTCCTGATAAGCACATTGCAACCTAAAAATATGGTAAGTTGAAAATGTGCTTAATACACCTAATCTACAGAACGCCATGGGTCCATCTCGCTTGCCTTAGACATTCTCAAAACACTTACATTAGCATACGGTTGGGTACAGTCATCTAACACACAGCGTGCTTTATAATAAGGTGTTGAACGTCTCAAGTCATTCATTGATGTAGTTGTAAGTTGAACCACCATAAATCAGGAACGGTCTGTACTGATTCCATTTTCTTTCTCCTGCGTTTCTGAAATCCCAAACATTGTCATAAGAGTCTGTTATGGAGTAATCTGGCATTATTTTATACAAACACACTTTAAGAACATCTGTACTTTTAGCTTATATCTGTAATAATGAATTTTTACCATTTTTCTATGGGATAGAAATATATTTCCCCACCACCCCCTTTAAATCTAAAATTCCCTCCTTTACCACATTTGCACTCTGGCCAACCCAGAGACTTCCTTCATGTGCTTTCCATCGTTTATCTTTCCGAGGGATGGGTCCTAACCCTGCCCCTGGCCCTGGGAAATGCATCCCTCCCCCGGTCAGTTCATCCTGGCCTTGGCCCCTGCCGGCGTTCTCTGCCTGCCTGAGACGGATGCTGCAGGGGCACCTGGGATTCCCTGACAGCTCCCCGGGCCTTTGTCAGAGTGACAGCCCGTTTTGTGTTGTTGTCACCTGCTGCCTCCTAAGGTCACTTTGTTGACTTGGTTTGCCATTCAACTTCATTTTGCCATAAAATGCTACTCTGAGTCAGCCTGCTGGAGAAAGCACTGCCAAGGTGGACAGTCAGGGAGAGGCACAGCTTCCAAAGCCTGTGTTTCTCTCCCTGTGATGATTTTGCCCAAGCCTTGCTCTTTCCCTGAGTCCTTCACCTTTGCGAGCAGCACCAGGGTCGGGAAGTCCATAAGGAACACCTTGCTGTGGTTCAGAAACTGCCCTCAGGTGCCCTCCAGAGAGTGCGCCTGTACGTGCCCAGTATTTCCAGTGTAAAATAGATCCTTGCTCAAATCCATTTTCACGTGTCATTGTTCCTCCTGCCCCACTTCACAGGATTGAATTCCAAGATTGAGGCTGGGTTTCTGTGTTCCAGCAAAATCTCTCACATGGTCCTATGTGGCCAGGTAGGTCAGTAACACACACGGTAAGACTGTGCGTGATGCCACAACAACGTGCCCACCTGGCTGCTGAATATAAGACCAAATCTCAAAAGTTACTTTTTTTTTGTTTTTTGAGATAGGGTCTTGCTGTGTCACCCAGGCTGGAGTGCAGTGGCACGATCATCTTCACTGCAGCCTTCGATTCCCAAGCTCAAGTGATCCTCCTGCCTCAACCTCCCCAGTAGCTAGGACCATAGACATGCACCACCAGGCCTGGCTAATTTTTAAATTTTCTTGTAGAGATGAGGTCTTGCTATGTGGTCCAGGCTGGTCTCAAACTCCTGGCCTCAAGGGATCCTCCCACTTCAACCTCCCAAAGTGCTGAGATAACAGGCAAGAGCCACCGTGCCCGGCCGGAACTTGTTTTGGAAACAGCATCGCTGCCCCACACTGCTCTGTGACAGGTCTTCCTTTTCCCTGGTGAGAGGGTCCTGATGGCCGAGTGCCAGGCTTGGCGCTTCGGCCTTGTTCCTGCGGGTGCGCTGCTTCCTCTCTCAGGGCATCAGCCTCTGACGGGTGCCCTGGGTCCCTCCGAGGTCTCACGACTCTGTGTCCTCCGAGGGCGTGACTTTCCTGGTTGTGCCTCACCCTGAGCACCCCCACATCCTCTGTGTGTGTGGTGAGCATGTAGACGACACCCCTTTGCGTGGTTCTGCTGGGGCAGAGCAACAGCTGGCAGGCTTGGGCCCGAGGACCCCGAGGTCAGCTGCAGAGGTGGGGACAATCACCTCTCGCCTTTCTGAAGCTACGGCCCCAATTCCGACGAGCTGGCTGGAGCCTGAGTGGCTGCCGTGGACACGGATACACAGGAAGCTGGCGCTGGCCTTCCTCGCCGTGCCCCTCGTGTATTTAGGGTGTTTCCCACAGAGAGAGGGGATCACTTCTCCTTTCAAAAGGAGCTACCGTTTAGTAAAGATAATGCAGCACAGAGTTTCTCCGTGACAGTCAAGGTGGTTTTATTTTGAGGAGGGGTCCTCCGTCTATCAAAAGATTGGGAGCAGAAGCAGAACTGAAGAACAACAAATTCCATGTGGATGGCTGTGTCCCTGGCACCTGGTTGTGGGCTGAACTGTGTCCCCTGACTCATAAGTGAAAGCCCTAACCCCAGTGGGGTTTTATTTTGAGATAGGATCTTTAAATAGGTCATAAAGGGTAAATGAGGTCCTAGGAGTGGGGCTCTAATTCTCATAGGACTGCAGTCTTTGGTCAAGAGATCGAGACCATCCTGGCCAACACAGTAAAACCCCCTCTCTACTAACAATAAAAAAAATTGCCGGGTGTGGTGGCACGTGCCTGTAGTCCCAGCTACTCGGGAGGCTGAGGCAGGAGAATTGCTTGAACCCGGGAGGCGGAGGCTGCAGTGAGCCAAGATCGTGCCTCTGCACTCCAGCCTGGGGAGAGAGTGAGACTCTGTCTCAAAAAAAAAAAAAAAAAAAAAAGAGGAAGAGGTTACGCTCTCTGTCTCATCTCTTCCTTGCTGTCTCTCTCCATTTTTGTGTCTCTCTGTCTCTGTCTCTCTGTTATTCTCCCTGTCTCTGTCTCTCTGTTTTTCTCCCTGTCTCTGTCTCTATCTAGCTGTCTCTGTCTCTCTATTTTTGTCTCTGTATTTCTGTCTCTGTGTTCCTCTCTCTGTCTCCTCTCTCTATCTCTGTCTCCTCTCTCTGTCTCTGTCTAGCTGTCTCTATTTTTGTCTATGTATCTCTGTCTGTGTGTTCCTCTCTCTGTCTCCTCTCTCTGTCTCTCTCTCTGTCTCTGTCTAGCTGTCTCTATTTTTATCTCTGTGTCTCTGTCTTTCTGTTTCTGTCTCTGTCTCCATCTTTGTCTCTCTCCAGCTGTGTCTCCATCTCTGTCTCTCTCTGCCATGTGAGCACACAGTGAGAAGGTTGTCATCTGCCAGCCAGGAAGACAGTCATCACCAGAAACCAACCCTAAGGACACCTTGATTTGGACTTCCAGCCTCTAGTGCTGTGAGAAAATGAACCTCTGTCGTTCGAGCCGCCCAGCCTGTGGCATTTCATCATGGCAGCCTCCTGTTCCAGCTCAAAATCAAGCCAATCATTGCAATGTGTGCGTGGGGGTGGTGGGCGGCCTCAGTGAGCTTATTCAACAATTAGTCTGCCTCCCAGGCAGTCGTCTTTACAGTCATCCTCCAGACCCCACTGCCCTTGGACCCCACAAGCCATGCCCACAAATACTTCTCCATTCCTCTGCCTTATTTTCATTCAGGTTCTGCTCTCCGTAGATGACAGCAGCTCTCCTGAGACATCCACGGAAGTGTATGGCTTTGTTCAGGTGCAGTATTGGCAGTAATACTGTTCCCCACCAGGTGCACCACAGGCTGGGCCCACGCCAAGCCCTTTGTGTGCATATCATGCATATTTTCACGAGGGTTTTCTTTGCACCACTGAGAGAAAAGCTTCATTCGACAGACCTTGCACATTTGTATGCGAAGTCCAACTTCTACTGGACTTCTGCTGTTCTTCAAAGCACGCATACACCAGGATCATGCGCTTGGGTGCCCAGGACTTTTTATTTTATCCTCTCATAGATGAGGCTGAGAAGGCACCAGAAACTTGGGGGCCAGCCAGTGGCATGCTATGTTCTCAGTGAAGCTGTTCAAAAACAGTAATTACAGTGCTAGAAATAAATGTATTCATGCAAAATTAAGAAAATATACAGTTTTCCCCTTCCACATTCCCAACATTATAAACAGACACACCAATTGTCTTACGATATAAAAGTCAGAATTAGAAGTATATAAAGTAAATAAAGTAAAAATTCCAACTGCTGCATTCTAGAAACTCTTAGGATGCATGTTTTCAAAAGACAATCAAACACAATCACCAGGAAAAACCTTTGATCTGAGATATGCCACTTTTTTTTTTGGTCTCCAAAGTATACTATTTTCCTCTGATTATGTTAATTAAAGAAGATTACCTTTAATAACATAAAATAGAGATACTTTGGGTCCTATTAACTTGTATTTCAAGCTTGCCTCAAGCACTAAAGAGAAAAAATATCCTGTTTTTCTCATGAAGAGGCATATACAACTTCAGCCTCAAGAATACATTCAGTGTTTGCATTTTATGAAAACACACTTTGGACATGTGTACCATGGATGTGCGGGTATACTGATCTAAAGATGTATTAGTATGGTGTATGAGATCAAGTTTGAGAATATTGCCTTATCAATCAAGCAAAAGCATCTCTAAACCTTTAAATGCTTTCCTGTGGCACAACGCCACCAATGACTATCGTCTCCAAGTGTCTGCAGCACTGCTAACACCAGCCCCTCAAATCGCCTCCTGTTGTATAGCTCACAACATTCTTATTTAGGGTCTTGTTATACAGGTGTAACCTTGGGCTCACACCAGTGATATTGTTTGGGACAGGAGGTGACAGGGCTGACAGCCAGACTTGGGACAGACCTGGGCTTAGATCAATTGATTATTGTTCATGGGAATTTAAACAGTTGTTTTCCCATTTCAAATCTGTTTCCCCATTTGTAAGAAATTATCTCATACAAGTATTGTGAGCATTAAACAGAACAATGTCTGTGACATTGGCACATAGCAAGGCACATAGCAAATGCTTAATAATACCAGCCATTATTATCATTTTAGATTTTTCTGAAGTCACATGGAAGATACCCTATCCACTTAGAAACACAGTTTAAATGCCTTACCAGGGGATCAGCTCTGAGAAGGAAGATGGACTCTGGGGAATGAACTCTTGTCCATCAGGATAAAGCATTCTCAGTCAGGTGTCCAGCATGCCTAGTCAGGTGTGTGGCATACCTGGTCAGGTGTCTACCATACCTAGTTAGGTGTTTACCATACCTGGTCAGGTGTCTACCACACTGAGTTAAGTGTCTACCATACCTGATCAGGTGTCCAGCACATCTGGTCCTGTTTCCTTTAGGAGACCTTTTTTTTTTTTTTTTTTTTTTTTTTTTTTTTTGCAACAGAGTTTCGCTGTTATTACCCAGGCTAGAGTGCAATGGCATGATCTCAGCTCACTGCAACCTCCGCCTCCTGGGTTCAAGCATTTCTCCTGCCTCAGTCTCCCAAGTAGCTGGGATTACAGGTGCCCGCCACCATGCCCAGCTAATTTTTTTGTATTTTTAGTAGAGACGAGGTTTCATCATGTTGGCCAGGCTGGTCTTGAACTCCTGACCTCAGGTGATCCATCTGCCTTGGCCTTCCAAAGTGCTGGGATTACAGGCATGAGCCACTGCGCCTGATTGACATTTCATTTTTGAAGTAAACTTTCAGGCTGATATACCCAGTTTCCTTTTAGTAGTTGCATACAATCTATGAATTCAATAACAATTTTTTTCTTTAATCAGTTTTCTTGTTCCTCAACTCATTTTAAATTTCTAATAGTTGCATGTATGCATTTTTGCTCATTTAAAAGCAGAAGTGCACACTTAGCACCTTTGTTCACAGGCATGTTGTCCACAAGGAAACTTACTCTCACTAAACCCTGCTTTCTGATTTGTTGCTGGTTAGAGTCCCCTCAGGGTTTGCTTATTTGTCACCTGAGTTTTCACTTTTTTCACTAAGATATCTGATTATAATTATACCAACATGAATTCTCCTATTAACTAACAGGTGAATAAAACTTATTGAAAATATTTTAAATAATTTATTGAGCACCTACTGTGTGCCAGGCACTGCACCAAATCTAGTTACACTAAAATAAAAAATTAAAACTAAAAACCTCCAAGTCCTGTCTGGAAGAAATACCCGATTAATGTTGACTAAAATGAAGTGTTTGGATGGTCTGTTTTCACATGTTGCAGGACGCAGGGAAGGGCAAGGACTTTGGGGTGTTTTTCCCTGGCTACTTCTCTTCAGTAATATTTCCTTCTACATCTTTGTTTTTATTATACCTTAAGTTCTAGGGTACATGTGCACAACGTGCAGGTTTGTTACCTATGTATACATGTGCCATGTTGGTGTGCTGCACCCATTAACTCGTCATTTACATTAGGTATATCTCCTAATGATATCCCTCCCCCCTCCCCCCACCCCACTGAGGTAAGGCCAATTTGCACACTGAGATAAGGAGGGCAAACCTGACAGAAGGTGGGAGGCCCAAAGAGGAGCAGGAATGGAACGGTGAGATGTGCGCTGGGAGCTACAAGCTGCTTCAAATCTCTCTGTGGGAAGTGGGGGCTGGGAACTTCGCCAGGTCAGGGCTCGGAGCCTCACAAATCAGGCAACATCAGCCGTTCCCACGAGGGCTGCAGCTGCTTTCTAGAATGTGGAAAGACTTTCCTACTGGTTAGTAAATAGCAGCTGTCCCAGGGCCCCTACACTAACCCCACTTGCCCAACCACACACACTCCTCCCCTGGATCCCCATCTCCCCCAAACTCGGATTTTAAAAGGCTAACTCCCAGTCCGTCTGGGGACCCAGCCCATCTGCCCCAGCACGTGTCTGCTGTGATTGGTGAGTGTCCACGCTGTGGTGGTCCTTAGTCCTCTGCACGTGGCCTGCATGCCTGGGGCCAGCTCAGCTATGGGAGCTATGATTTTCCTGGGTTCTCTCGTGTATGATTGCGTTGAACTCTTGTAAAATGCCAACGCATGGCACAGAACAGCGATGAGTGGTTCAATTTTGTGCCTGAATGAACTGAGGCTGTGATATCCAGGGATCCTTCAAGCCCACTTTGTTTGTTGGAGGCAGACGGGGTCATGGACCCAGGCCCCATTCTTCTGTGTCAGGAGCTGAGGTTCTGAGTGGTGGGTGGGTGACGTGTGCCCGGGGTGCAGGCGGGTCATTTTTTACTGAGGAGCCTCTTTCGTTCCTCAAAGCCCAGCTCCAGAGCTCCTGCCCAGGCACTCTAGGGTTCACACATGGGGCCGGAGTCGGCGTCCAAGGGACACGGTGCTGTATTTTTTATTTTCTTCACTCTCCAGATGATGAACTATTTATTGTCACTTTCAATGAGTCATGACCATCTAAAGCTGGGCCAGACCGAAGTGAGACACCTAACCTCCCTCTTTTCCTCCTTTTTCTTTTCCAAAATCTATTCACGATCAGAGAAAAAAGCCTTTTGAGGAGGGGTTCATGGAGCAGAAATAAAACCTCTTGTCACAGCCAAGTGCTTAGGCCAAAAGTGATGTAAATTAGTACAAGCTTGGTCATTTGCAGACCGACTCCCAGACTCATTCTTCATCCCACTCTCCGCCCTGAGCTCCCATGTGGTAAAGCAGGCCGAGGCCCAGTCTCCTGACAGGTTTATGGGCTCCTGGTGCACTCTCACGCTCGGTCTTTCCAAGCACTGGTCTGGCTGTGTTCACAGCAAAGCCAGGGGCCGGATTCTTTTGAATATCAAGCCTGGGTTCTCTCGTGTACGATTGCGTTGAACCCTTCTCCTGAGATAGCACTGGCCACTGGAGGTTAAGGCCTGCTGGGAACCGGCCACATGATCCTGGCCCCTGCAGCCATGGCTGTGAGGCTACGGGGCGACCCTGGCAACCCCCACAGCTCCACTGCCTCTCATCTCGGGCTGTGTCTTATGCACAAAGCTTTCCATGCTTGCAGGGGAGCTGTGTGTGGGAAGTCCTGGGTTTTGTGATAGGGACCTGGTTATATTTATGGCCATTTTAAGGGTGCAAGATTAAGCAAGATTATAAAAGCCTAGATGTCACAGAACCTAGAGACTGTGAGAACCATCCTCTGCTTTACTGACATAAACATTGAGGTTCTCAAAAGACAAGGGGCTTCTCACAGCCACCGAGTCGGCACTGCAGCAAGAGCCGCTTCCTGGGAGTCAGCTTCCTGGTTTGAGGGCCTTGAGGCCCTCAATCAACTGCTTAATTGACACAGTCAAAATACAAGCAGTCAATCATGTAGTTATCTAGCTATCATCTATCTATCTATCTATCTTTTTAAACCTATTTCTGCTTATTTTTAATTGTAGTAAAATACGTATAACATTTACCATTTAGAAAATTTAATTTTAATTTAAAATTTTTGTAGAAGCAGGGTGTGTCTATGTTACCTAGGCTGGTCTCAAACTTCTGGCCTCAAGTGATCCTTCCACCTCGGCCTCCCAAAGCTCTGGGATTACAGGCATGAGCCATCACACCCGGCCAAATTTACCATTTTTAAGTGTGCAGCTCTGTGGCATTAGAGCCCTGTTGTGTAACCATCATCACCATCCACCTCCAGAGCCTTTTCATCGTCCCAGACTGATGCTCTGCCCCATTCAACACTCATTCCTGCTCCCCTCCCGTCAGCCCCTGGCAACAACTCTCCTACTTTCTGTCTCTATTTTAAGACAGCAGGGTAAAGACGTCTCTATTTTCTTCTTCTTTCTAAAGTTGTCCCCAGAGAATAAGAACAAAAGCCAGAAAGCAAACTCAAGCTTCCATGGAGCTCACAGCGTAACCATGGATTCTACAGTGCACGTGAAAGGGCGTGGAAGGAGGGAAGACCCAACCGGGGCATGGGACGGCTTGGAGAGCAGAGCAGCTCCCAGACACAGCGCCCAACTTGCCAAGACTCCTGAAGGGATGCCGCAGCCTCAGGCAGAATCCACGTGTCTTGCTTGGAGCAGGGTGTCTGATGCAAGGCTACTGTAGAAATGACCCAGGGTGTCACTGAAGGACAGGAGACGTTGCACAGAGAAAAGGAAACCCTGCACGTGTTGAGCACTTACCAGGTGTCAGGTGTTGTGCAGAGGCCGTGAGAGGTGACTTTAGCGAGCGACTCCTGCAGGAGGTGGCTGCCAGGGAAGCAAGGTGGGAGAGAGACTGGGGTTGAAGCAGGCACAGCCTCACGTTCTTTTAGCTGGGGAGAAATAATGACAACTAATGCATACAATGACAACTAATGCATAATGACAACTAATGCATGTTCTTTTAGCTGGGGAGAAATAATGACAACTAATGCATACAATGACAACTAATGCATAATGACAACTAATGCATGTTCTTTTAGCTGGGGAGACATAATGACAACTAATGCATACACACATGCATTCACACTCATACACACACCTGCATGTATACACACATGCACACAGGCTCTGAGTCACAAGGAGCTTCATTTTGAGCTGGGGAAATTCTGACCTAGTCTCTCCCCAATTTGTACCTTGGGTAAAATAGCTGATCCAGAAAAGACTCAATTTATTGAGATAATTTAATGAGAAATGAAAAAAGCATGGGCTTTATTAAAAATACTGTAAGTCTCTTAAAGCATGTGAGACCCAGGGGATGCAGGACTGGTGAAGCCATCCTAAAGAGATTTCTAGAAGATGACTCTAGAACAAACTTGGATGTCTCCAAACAGATGGAGACACAGATAAAAAGTGAGCCGTGAGCACTGAAGACATTTAATGTAGGAATAAGACTAAAGCTCCTATAGGATTATGGTAAATGAGAGGATATTATAATGACAAATGTTATAAATAAGATGCTATGAAATAACACAGAAATGGAAGTGAGAGGGAGGGAGGCATGGTTGGAGGTGATATAAATATGCGGTGTTCTCTTCTTGTCTAGTCTCAGTTTAAAAATAATGTATAGGCCGGGCGCAGTGGTTCATGCCTGTAATCACAGCACTTTGGGAGGCCGAGGTGGGCAGATCACGAGGTCAAGAGATCGAGACCATCCTGGCCAAGATGGTGAAACCCTGTGTCTACTAAAAATATAAAAATTAGCTGGGCGTGGTGGCGGGCACCTACAGTTCCAGCTACTCGGGAGGCTGAGGCAGGATAATCGCTCGAACCCAGGAGGCAGAGGTTGCAGTGAGCCGAGAATGAGCCACTGCACTCCAGCCTGGGTGACACAGAGGGACTCTGTCTCAAAAAAACAGTAAATCAATAAAATAAAATAAATTAAAAATTCCAGAAAGCATAACCTATGATGGAGGCAAGGCCCAGAACAGTCCAACAGCACTGAGTAAAAAATAAAAATTATAAATGCAGATAAGACTGGGCGCGGTGGCTCATGCCTGTAATCCCAGCACTTTGGGAAGCCGAGGTGGGCAGATCACTTAAGGTCAGGAATTCCAGACCAGCCTGGCCAACATGGTGAAACCCCATCTCTACTAAAAATACAAAACGTAGCTGAGCATGGTGGTGCACACCTGTAATCCCAGCTACTGGGGAGGCTGAGGCAGGGAGAATTGCTTGAACCTGGGAGGCAGAGGTTGCAGTGAGCCGAGACCATGCCACTGCACTCCAGCCTGGGCAACAGAGTGAGACTCTGTCTCTAAATAAATAAATAATAAAAATAAACGCAGATAAGCCAGATTATCTGGAGGGATACACCAGAAACTGCTAAGCATGAGTGAGTAGAAGATGCAATCTTCCCCAAATATACTGTAATACAGTCATGTCAAAGTCAAGTCCTTTGAATGTGAGGACTTTTTGGCTTATCTGTGGTGGTGAGTATCTTGAAAAGTATGCATGGACTTTTTCTTAGCTCATCCACTATCATTAGTGTTAGTGTGTTTTATGTGTGGCCCAAGACAATACCTCTTTTTTCCAATGTGGCCCAGGGAAGCCAAAAGGTTGGACACCCCTGCTTTAATGTATGGAAATTGTGTACTCTGTATATATTCAAAGTACTGTGTGTATATTTGAGTATATTTGAATATTCCAAAGTAAACAAATAACTATGAAAGAATAGTCCTTACATAGCTAACATAAGCTGATCAATAATTAGTTTTTGTTAACCATCTGGTGTATGCTTTCTGTACCAATTTTCCTTATTATTGACAGGATCAAAAATAACATTTTATCCAAAAAAAAAATACAAAATGATAGGATTGAAAAGGCAGTGTCCTTGGAGTCCATGGATTCCTGGGATAACGCAGAGGCAGCATTTTACAGAAGGCCCACTGCTGCAGTGTCCACCTAGACGTGTGGGCAAGCTGAGCCGCCCTCGGCCTGACCCCCACATGCAGCAGCGGCCACCGGAGGGAGCGCCCATAACGGTAAACACCACCCCGAGCAAGGAAGGGGTTATGTCGGAGCGTGGCTCTGACAGGCTTTGAAGATAATCCGTGACAGTAGTAACTACAGAGTTTTAACAGAGTTTCTTTCTATTAATATAGGTAATAATAAAAATATCATGAGGCATCTAAATTTTTACCAAGAATTTTGACTATTGCTGTGATAGACGACTGTAGCTTAATAATAAACTCTTTTAATTTTTAATTTTTATTTTTTTGAGACAGGATCTCATTCTGTCACCCAGGCTGGATTGTAGTGGTGCGATCTTGGCTCCCTGCAACCTCCACCTCCTGGGCTCAAGTGATCCACCTCAGCCCCCTCAGTAGCTGGAACTACAGGCGCGCACCATGACACCCGGCTAATTATTTATTTATTTATTTATTTATTTATTTATTGTATTTTTGGTAGAGACGGGGTTTCACCATTTTGCCCAGGATGGTCTCGAACTACTGAACTCATGTGATCTGCCCACCTTAACCTCCCAAAGTGTTGGGATTACAGGCCGAGCCTTAATAATAGATTCTTAACGTAAAGCAGGAAGTATTTGCCCTCTAGCTCCTTTATGCCTTTGTTATGGCTCAGTTTAAAGGCCATTCATTATGTTTTTGACTTTCCTTTGTATACTTCCAAGTTCCATGTGCTCTCTGTGGTTTGCAGTTCAGACTTCTGTGACTATGAACACCTTGTGCATATGGTCTGGTATAGTCTTTGTGTTGACCTAAAGCAAGTATCTGTCCATCCGTCCATCCGTCCATCCATCCATCCATCCATCCATCCATCCATCCATCCGTTTGTCCATCCATCCATCCGTTTGTCCATCCATCCATCCATCCATCTGTTTGTCCATCCATCCATCCATCCATCCATCCATCCATCCATCCATCCGTTTGTCCATCTATCCATCCATCCATCCATCCATCCATCCATTCATCCATCCATTCATCCATCTATCAATTTATCCATCCATCCATCCATCCACCCATACATCCATGCATCTATCCATCCATCCATCCATCCATCCGTCTATCTGTTTGTCCATCTATCCATCCATCCATCCATCCATCCATCCATCCATCCATCCACCTACCCACCCATCCATCTATCTGTTTGTCCATCCATCCATCCATCCATCCATCCATCCATCCACCCATCTATCCATCCATCTATCCCGTCTATCCATCCATCCATTTATCCATCCATCCATCCATCCTTCCATCCATCCATCCATCTATCCCGTCTATCCATCCATCCATTTATCCATCCATTCATCCATCCATCCATCCATCCATCCATCCATCCATCCATCCATCCATCTACTCATCCGTCCATCTACATATCTATCCATCTCTTCATCCATTTATCCATCCGATTATCTATCTGTCTGTCTGTCTATCTATCTATCTATCTATCTATCTATCTATCTATCTATCTATCTTCCCAGCTTTACTGAGGTTTACCAGACAGAAAAATTGTGTATATTTAAGGTGTACAATGTGATGTTCTTGTATACATATACATTGTGAAATGATTGCCAGAATAAAGCTAATTAACATATTCATCACCTCTAGTCACCGTTTTGGTCAAAGAGTAAAAGCAATCTATTTAAATCAATCAATAAAAGGCGTCAATAGTCTGATTTGTGATTTCGCATCACGTTGCCAAACTCACATGCTGAGTGATTGGATGGTGGTTCAGTGTGAAAACAATTGTTGCAGGTTTTTTTTAACATAAACATGGTGGACAAACTCTTAAATGTATACATTTGAGAAACTATACCAGCCTTCTCCTTGTGAAGGTGCTTGAAGTTTAATTTTTCATTTTTCACTATGCCTAAGGCAGAGTCTCATACTAGGTTTTGCACAAACTTAATACATTTTTTAGTTGAATTAAATTAGTTGATGACATGTAAAAATTCTCAAATCAGATAATTTACAACTTGAAGTGCATTTGACTAAAATAATGTCCATGTGCAAACTTTAGTCCATGAGACTCAACACATTAATACGGATTTTCTAACACTCAGTGTATTAGGAAAATTATAATTAAACTTGATTTACTTAGAATTATTATTCTAATTTCATTCTGTGCAGCTTCCATCTGTTTACAATAAAAAACAAAATGGATGTTTTATTGTACAGCAGCGGCAAATAGTAGCGAGCCCATACATTATATAGTTAATGCTATTTACACAGGAGAAATGTATAGGACAGCTGCAATGGCCAGATTGAAAGCATAATTCAGTTAAAGATTTTGCTGCTGTTGTGAACCCTGAGAAACTTCACACGTGGAATAGAGTCTCAAGACCGAATTAGAGCTTCAGTAGCCCATTGCAGTGCATGTATGGTCATTCATAATGTCCAAGGACAAGCATGTGGACTTAGAAAAGCATGGCTTCCTTGACTAGAGCCAGAAAATTTACCTATTTGTCACCATCAAGGAAAGTTATTGTAGTCAGACAATCAAATTTTCACCAAGAGACTTAAATGGATATGAAGGTAAAATGGGTTTTTCATTTTGAATGTCACTGGTCTAAGAATGTAGGTCCATTCCACTCCTATTGACTTGGAATTAGGGAAACAATAAATTATTACAATATATTAATTCAGATTTCAATCACATTATGCTCATTCAATCAGTCTTTCATTAATAATGGTACATCAAATGAAATGCAAATGACCAGAAGTGATATTAATTATGAATTAATAAACTTTCTCTGCAAAGTAGCTTCCAGGAATTTAACTAATTTCAGCTCACACATTCAGGTGAATGCATTTTGTTGGATGTATTTTGTTGGATGTCTATGGTGTATCCATCACAGTGCTAGATGTTATGGGAGCCTATCAGATGCATGTCAATCACAAGGATTGATGTGTGTCAATCACAGGGATTGACTCATGTCAATCAGAGTGCTAGATGTTGTGGGAGCCTATCAGATGCAACCTCAGCAGATAGAAGCTAGACCTCCCAGAGACTGCTCAGCACAGGAAGGACCATTTGTATGGTTTGAGTCATCAGAGAGGCATAGATGGGGGTGTGCATGCAGGAAGAGAGAAAGGGGAGGAGTAGGAAAGGGAAGATGAGTATTTAGAGGAAGAAGATCCTATTGCAGCCCATAGTCATTGGGCTGTGATTTCAGAGTAACTAACATTGGCTCCAGGGAGGACTCATGGCTCTACCTCTTCCTGATGTGAATCCCATGCGGGGCTCTGGCCTGATTAGGTGAACCACAGCAACCCCTTCCAGAGAGCAGATGCTTAATTTTTAGGCTGTGGTGATAACTAGAATAACAGGACCTAATAATAATGGGGCAGAAAAGAAGTCAAGGCAAGGGATCCCTGCAGCTCTCAAGCTGTTCTCTCTGCATAGGCTTCATAGGGGGAGAGCAAAGGGGCTTAGTAAATGGGCGGCAGGATGGCCTGAAGTAAGATTGGAGGCAAAGAGGGTTAAAGCAAGCAGAAAGCCAAGTACCACCCATCACCAACACCATCATCCTCACCATCATTATAACCATCACCATCACAATCAGAAACACCATCACCACCATCACCAGCATCATAAGCATCACCAACACAATCAGAAACACAACACCATCAAAAATGCCACCAGAAACACTATCAACAACAGCAAAACTATCACCATAATCATCACCAACACCATCAGAAACACCACCAACACCATCATCACTGTGACCAATACCACCATGAACACCCACACCATCATGATCAACACCATCACCAACACCATCAAAAATGTTGTCAGAAATACCATTACTAACAGCAAAATGATCATTACCATCGTCAACACAATCAGAAACACCATTATCATCACCACCAACACCGTTATTATTGTACTAGTCCATTTGTACACTGCTATAAAGAAATACCTGAGACTGGATAATTTATAAAGGAAATAGGATTAATTGATTCACAGTTCCACATGGCTGGGGAGGCCTCAGGAAACCCCTTCCGAGGTTGGGACCATCTTCAGCGGGAAGGAAGACACTGCCTTCCCCCAGCATGCCCCTAGCAAAGACAGCACACCCTTAAGTCAGATTCTACTTTAAGAAACAGCAGGAGGCGCCCTTGATCTTTCAGCAACTCCGCGTTGGGTCATCATTAAATGATTTGAACCTGTTGAACTTGTCATGTGTCTTCTATTTGGAGAGTGAGCTTTCCCTTCATAATTTCTCCGTGATCTTGTGGTGCTCTGTGAGATTCTTCTTGTTTATTTTTGCCCTTGTTCTCAGCCCACAGGTGTTGTCATCGCTGAGGTAAACCCCGGGTCTAGAAATGTGGGTCAAAATTATGGTTTCTCTTTTGGCTTTTTTTAATGTCACTTCCGAAGTGTTTCGTATTTCAACATTTCTTGCTAAGATACTAGTAGTTTGGGAAACAGTAGATCGTTCTTAAATGAAATCACCTTTAAAACAGGTCAGTTTCGGTGCTACTGTAATTGCATTTGACATTTTCCTTCAAACTAAGTTGCACATTGCTAACAACTTAAATAAACCTTGCTCTTTGGAGATGGGATTGAAAAATGGACTTGTCCTGTGATGTAGGCGAGGCTGGCTGGGTAAACTGAACTTCCTAATATAAAACAATGGAAAGGAGCTTACAAAAACAACCCTGATCTCTACAGCCACTCAGATGGTTTTCTTTTTGCTCAACTGAGTGTCAGTGTCTGGATTCCTGCAGACAGGGAGCATTTCCTCCTCCAGGCTCTGTCCTCCGCCCTCCTCTGCAGAGTTCTTTCCCTTCTGTCAGTTTTTCAGTTACAAGGAGCCTGAAGTATTCTCTTTTAGAAAGAGCGTCTGGCATATTTTCAGATGTCTTGCATCCCTGGGGTCATCTCTCTGCCATCTTCACCACTCAGCATCATTGCCCTTCATCTACAGCAGCTGGTATTGCATGTTTCTTTGTATATGAATGAAATTAATATTCTATTACTACATTTTCTGTCCTCCCCTCTACCCTATGCCAACCACCTGCATACTTGCAGGAATTTTTGTTTAAATATTATTCTTCATTCATTAGTTTAAAAATGTTGCCAGAATGATCTGCCTAACACATTGTGGGCATGGAACTTGTGTAGCCTGCGAGGTTTGCTTTTCACGTTTTCTTTGCTTTTTCCCTATTCATTATGGAATCGACTCTAGGAAGCTATTTATTCGTGTATTCCCTCTGCTCCCTGTCACTTAGTGCAGAGCCATTTTGCCCACCCTTCATCTCTTCATCCTCTTCCTCTGACTGTCAAGCTTATCACCCAGTGACTGGCTTCATGATTCAGCAGCAGCAATTATGTTATTTATGGCTCCAAACACATTTCAACTCTTCTGTCTTTATGTTGTTTATGTTTTGGGCCCTACATTCAATTCTCGGTCCAGTTATGCAGTGGTCTGTTTTCAAGTTCAGGTATGTTTCTGGAAAATGGGTTCTTTCAGTCCATTCTACACAATTATTTTAACTCTCATGTTCCATAGTTTCTTCTTGACCCTCCCTTTTCCCTTCTGATGATCTACTCCTCCTTCATGAGGTCATGACCTTGTGACCTTCTACTGAGGGGTTTCGGTGCCTCTCTTGGGTCCCATTAAACATCACTCCCAGAGATGAGACCTTGCACTGCCCTCAAGCCCTGACATGCAACACACACACATTTTTTTCTTTTTTTTAGGCCTTATATTGTTTGTTCTCTCTTAACTCATTCTTGTGCAAAGTAAAATGTGGGAAGACCTGCCTTTGCCAATAACAAGGTGAACGGGCGACTTAGGTGACAGCTTCATCTGTGTGGCCTGATCCTGTCTGTCAGTGCCACTCTTATTGGCCTTTAATGGGCTCTTTCTCATCCTCTGACAAAGAATCTTCATTTTCACCTTACTCCTTGGCTCAATATCTCTTTGAGCTAACACTAAAACTTTATTATTAACAACCTTACTTTTGAGTAAATTGCCATTACTAATTTCCTTGTTGGTGAAGATTTCCTAAAGAAAACAGAAAACTTCTTACGGTTGTCTTCAGATACAGTATTGGGTAATTTAGGAGACTTTATTTTCTAGAACGTTATAACAAAATAAGCTAATGTCTGACTCCTCACTGGCTTGATTTTTGAGATGTTTAGTCCCCACTTAAGTGCCTTAAATAGTGTTCGTGATGGTGATGGTGTTGCTGCGGGTGGTTATCTGGGGGTGGTGATGGTGATGGTGTTGGTGGTGATGGTGTTGGTAACGATGATGGAGATGATGAAGATGGTGGTGATGATGGTGATAGTAATGCCACTGGTGATGGTACTGGTGATGGTGATGATACCATAATGGTGTTGGTGATTGGTCCATTGTTTTTGATAGTGTTTTTCTGATGGTGTTGGTGATGATGATGGTGATGATTTCACTGTTGGTGATGGTGTTTCTAATGGGGTTTATGATATTGTTGGTATTGGTGATGTTATTGGTGTTGATGATGGATATGATTTGGTTCTGTGTCCCCACTCAAATCTCATTTCAAACTGTAATCCCCACATGTCTAGGGAGGGACCTGTAATCCCCACGTGTTGAGGGAGGAAGGTGATTGGATCATGGGGGCAGTTTCTCCCCTGCTTTTCTTGTGATAATAAGTCTCACGAGATCTGATGGTTTTATAAGTGTCTGAAAGTTCCTCCTTTGCTCTTCTCTCTCCTGCTACCTTGTGAAGAAGAGGCTTGCTTCCCCTTTGCCTTCTGCTATGACTGTAAGTTTCCTGAGGCCTCCCCAGCCATGTGGAACTGTGAATCAATTAATCCTATTTCCTTTATAAATTATCCAGTCTCAGGTATTTCTTTATAGCAGTGTACAAATGGACTAGTACAATAATAACGGTGTTGGTGGTGATGATAATGGTGTTTCTGATTGTGTTGACGATGGTAATGATCATTTTGCTGTTAGTAATGGTATTTCTGACAACATTTTTGATGGTGTTGGTGATGGTGTTGATCATGATGGTGTGGGTGTTCATGGTGGTATTGGTCACAGTGATGATGGTGTTGGTGGTGTTTCTGATGGTGTTGGTGATGATTATGGTGATAGTTTTGCTGTTGTTGATAGTGTTTCTGGTGGCATTTTTGATGGTGTTGTGTTTCTGATTGTGTTGGTGATGCTTATGATGCTGGTGATGGTGGTGATGGTGTTTCTGATTGTGATGGTGATGGTTATAATGATGGTGAGGATGATGGTGTTGGTGATGGGTGGTACTTGGCTCCTTTTACAGAGCAGGACCCAGGAACAGAGAAGGTCAGGTGCCCATGAGCATATCAAAAAAGGTATATCCCAGAAGAAGGCTGAAGACTGGGTACATTGATTTCCTAAAGAAGACAGAGTCACTGCTTAGCTCTACGTGCTACTGTTCACAAGCATTCCTCTCCATAAAAATAGTTATGGTAACTTAAAATTGCTTTTCATTTTTTACATTGTATCATTAACTTTGTCGATCTTGTGCCCTGTTCTTCCACTGCAAAGCAGACTCCTTGGAAGATAAGATGGCCCCTTACTCTCTCTAACAACAGACTTCCAAGAGGAATTTCTCTATGATCTTGTTCCAGGAATGTGTTTCCCAAGAAGCAAGTCTGGATTCATCTTATGTACACTCCTGGCCTGTCTCTGGTATGTTTTCCTGGCTGGAGAATCTTTTGACAGCTCAGAGCCCAATCTGTGGCTCATCTCTAATGAATGTGCAGTATTTCTTATTTGCTTCTTGTTTTCCCTACCTTTCTTCGCGTTCTGATTTCATCATTCACTTCATTTTTTTTGACAGTGAGGTCGCTTTTATTATCATCCTCATATTACAAGTAAGAAGGAGCACCAGCATTTCAGTAGCTCTTCCTGTCAAAATGGCAGGAGCAGAATCTCAGCCTGCATTTGTCTGAAAATTATGAAGTAGATCTTTAAAAATATTATATTTCAAGTTTCAACACTAAATTACTATAAGGACACAAATAAGCTTTGGATATTTAATTTTTTTCTCACTTGAAAAGATGAATGTGTCTTCCTCTTTCATAGATGGCCTGTTATGATGAATTCAGCAGAATATAGCAAGTAACTCTAAGCCTCTAATTTTCTTTTGTATTTAACTATAAAAATATTTTAATTAATAAAATAAAAACACTCACGTATAATTTTACCACCCTAACACACTACTAACATTCTTACCTATTCTCTTCCAGATATTGTCCTTATGCCATTAAAATTGCATAAGCATATTCAAAATCAATAATTTATATTTTTGATTTTTACTGTTGAGTTTCTAAAGTCCATATATTGTTATAAGCCTCTTTAAACCCTTCTTGCAAAAGACAAAGAATAAGAGGATAAAGAATGTATGGAACCTGGCCAGGTGCGGTGGCTCACGCTTATAATCCCAGCACTTTGGGAGGCCAAGGCGGGCAGATCACCTGAGGTCAGGAGTTCTAGACCAGCCTGGCCAACATGGTGAAACTCCGTCTCTATTAAAAATACAAAAATTAGCCAGGTGTGGTGGCAGGGTGCCTGTAATCCCAGCTAATCTGGAGGCTGAGGCAGGAGAATTGCTTGAACCCAGGAGGCGGAGGTTGCAGTGAGCCAAGATCACAACATTGCACTCCAGCCTGGGTGACAGAGTGAGACATCGTCTCAAAAAAAAAAAACAAAAACAAAAAAAGAGTATGGGAAACTAACTTCAGTGCTGGAACATAAGACAAGGAAAAAGACGAGTCAGAAGTAGCACAGCCCCTGATCAAATGTGCTGTCCTCACATCCCTGTCATCTGGAAATGCCATTCCTTAACCTGGAAAACCTTCTTCTCCCAGATTCATATTTTGCCTCACCATTTACTTTGATCCCTGCAAAGGTAATGACATTGATTCCATGTTTCTAATTTTTCTAGAAATTCGGGGATCTGCTCAGCAGACCGGAACAACCCAGGAGGCATCTGGGCTCTGGAAGGAAATACAAGCCAGCCAGTTCCAGCAGCTTTTTCCCAAAGCCTGGAGCAGGCTCTGCTCTGTAGCTACTAGCATTTTTACGACAGTAACCTGAGGCCACTCATCTTAGGTCTGATTGATGAGTAGGTCAGAAATCATCCCAGCGTGGAACCCTCCTTGACTCACGCTGTCTGGGTGAACACACAGACCCATTCCACTGTTTCCTGGCCAGCTTGACTTCACTCTTCTTATTTTTCTTGGGCTAAGAAAAGACATTCTTTGCTGGATATAAATATCATGCATTTCAGAAAGTTCATATGTACAAATAACATGGATTCGGGATCATTACAGTTGTTAATTTTAGTAAAATAATTTTTTTCTTTGGCTTGCTTCTTGAATTCTTTAGTGATCTTGGACATACAAACACAGACTTCTTGTTCTAATTATCTCAGGTATGAGGCTTGGAAGTCGCAGTGTCCTGACTATTTCTGGAATTTAGACAGAATACAGCAGCCTGAACGTTCTTTCTGACAAGCCACAAGGAAACAGATGGGATATGTTGTTCCCTCCAGGGTGGGAGTCGCTGGCCCAGCCCCAGAGACAGATGTGCATTGAAAACACAAAAACTTTTTAGGTGGAAAATTTCAGACATATGTAAAAGTAGACAAATTCTATCACTGTGTTCGTATCACCCAGACTTCTGAACTACCAATTCGTGGCTGAAATTCTTTCATCCATGCTCGGCTTAGTCCTAACTCCTCTCTCCCCTGTGATTATTTAAAAGAAAATCCCAGGAAGATTTTTTTTTTGTGCCAAGGATGCATAAGAAGATCACCCAATACAATGATTTATATGGCTCATTTTGAGTTTTCCTATAGCACTGCCCTGGCTTTGCTGAAACCACAAGACCCATTGTGGCTGCATGACTCATCTTCCCCAGAGGCTGTCGTCTCAAGGTTTCTTGTGCTAGGGTTTTTGAAAGTAGCACATTGTTTCCAAAAAGCAAAATTCTGTCATTTGTCACCTACATTTAAGCATATCTATTGTGGCCAGGCGTGGTGGCTCACGCCTGTCATCCTAGCACCTTGGGAAGCTGGAGTAGGCAGATCACCTGAGGTCAGGAGTTCAAGATCAGCCTGGCCAACATGGAGAAACCCCACCTCTACTAAAAGTACAAAAATTAGCTGGGTGTGGTGGCACATGCCTGTAATCCCAGCTACTCAGGAGGCTTAGGCAGGGGAATCACTTGAATCAGGGAGGTGGAGGTTGCAGTGAGCTGAGATCGTACCACGGCACTCCAGCCTGGGTGACAGAGCAAGACTCTGTCTCAAAACAAAACAAAACAAACAAACAAAACGAATATCTGTCGTGAGAATTAAGGGGCCTATCTAGAGGCTCAGGGAATATTTGTCTCCCTAAGAAGTACTGACCTACGTAACTCTTTCAACAGCGAGCTTCATGCCTGCCTGTGTGTACGTATGGGTTTCTACACATCAGGCCGTGAATCCACATGTGTGTCATTCATGGACTAAAGCAGTGATTGAACACCTACTCTGTTCCAGGTACCGTGGTAGACAAGGCCAGGAGGGCCTCTGTTCCTGTGGGCTTCCGTTCTAGTGGCGAGCCACGTGCAGCGTGGTTGCTGGAGACGCGGGACGCTTTCCTGACTTGCATAAGAAATGGGCACGAGGTAGAAACACAGTGTTAAGAAGGCCTATGGGGATGAGGTCTTGTTGTCCTCCCACAGGTGTTCTGTCTGTTCAGAGTTCTGTCTCAGCCAGATGTGGGACCCCAACCAAAGTGTGCCCCCATCACGGGGGAGGCACCTGGGATAAGAGTAGGTTCACTTTTAAAGACATATTTGGTTAGAATTCAGGCCAGAGAAACAGGTGCCTCGTTGACAGGTGACCCAGGTCTGTGGTGTGCGAGCCATCTGCCTGGCAGGAGAGACAAACTTCAGCCAATGCTCTGGTGACTCTGCCTCCCCGCCCCTCCTTTCTGGGAATTGGGTTCGTCTCCAGGGTGTCTCACCTGCAGGAAGGGCCAGCCTGTGCTTTCCTGTCATTTGTCACCTGGCCTCTGCTGGAAGTATCTTCTCTATGGGGGTCCTCTCTGGCCAGGCCATTGGTCAACACCACTATCTTTTGTTCTTGTCAAAAGGCTTTTCCACATCTCTCTCTCGACTCCTTCCCAGTCTAGCCTCTATTTGGGGTATGGAGGAAATGACTCCACAGCTTCCCTCTCCACCTGGGCACGGAGAATATCTTGGGGACTGCGTCTGGACAGACCAGCCACCCATGTGGGTGCTTCTGTGCTGTGCAGGGCCTCCCCGGGGCCTTCCCTGGGATGGTAGCCTTGCTTTCTCTGTGCCTGGATTCCCACACCTGTCGGGGATCCCATCATTTTCTCTGGTCCTCAGGGGTGGGCAACGGGGCCGAAGTCCCTTCTCAGGAACCCAGCGGCATTGAGTGTCCTTTTCCCACTTAGGATACTCTTTCTCCGTTTCCTCCCATTTAGAGAAACACAGCTAGTCTGGAGGTGGGGGGGAGACTGGGTTTCTCAGATAAAAACATCCTTCCAAACCCACTGTCTCTGCCTGCACCTCAGCACATGGAACTCCGGGGCTGGGAATTTGTGCCATTGTGTCTCTCTGGGCTGTGGGCTGCATCATCTACTCCTGATGGGGTTGAGACACACACACGGGGTTGGGAGCAGGTGCATAAGATACAAAAAGGTGGGGAAAAATTGCTGATGTATCAGAACATTCCTCACAATTCTTCTCCGGACACCTACACTCAAAGTGTAGCGCTTGGGGAAAATTATAAAATAAGTAAAGGGGGTCTTTCTATTTCCCTAACAGGGCAAGGCTCTGTGCTAGGTTTTGTGGCAACTGAAAGATGAATCAGAGGCATTTCCAGCTCTCCAGAGTGTCACTGAGTGGAGACAGACTCGTGCATGGAATCACACCCAAGGCAGACAGTGTAAGTGATGTCATGGAAATACAACCATGCAGACAGATGCAGTTTCACCCTCATAGCTCTGCTATGAGGTAGGCAGACCCTGCCCTATATGAAGAAGATGAGGCATAGAGAAGATGAGTAATTCACCTGTGCCACAGCAAACAACGAAAGAAGGTGAGTGCCCACCCTAGGTCAGGGGCAGAGCCTCTCTGTGGGGATGGTTGGTTGGGGGTGGGGGTCACAAAGCCCACGTCTGATGGAGACGTGCTGTTGGGATGATGTTGAGAAAGGGTGGGAGTGCAGAGAAGCCCCAACATAGTAGGCACCTGCAAGGGGCATTATTTAAGATTCCAGGGTCAACTTGGTGACAGCCCCATTTGGATTTGCACCTGTGCTGCCTCTGAGCTCTGTCTTCTCCTCTGCAGATAGAGTAACCAGGGCACCTGTTGATTGGGGGCCTCACCAGCAGGAGCTCCTGGCAGCGGCTGCAGGGTGTAGCAGCACAGGACAGACGCTGGAGGTGCAGGCGCAGAGGTCCTGGGGTAGGTCCTGTGGATCACACAGCACTTACAGAATATTCCAAAAACAAAACAAGAGAGAAGGCTGGTGATACCATGTCAAGTTAGAAACAAGAGAGAAGGCTGGTGATACCATGTCAAGTTAGAAACAAGAGAGAAGGCTGGTGATAACATGTCAAGTTAGAAACAAGAGAGAAGGCTGGTGATACCATGTCAAGCTAGAAACAAGAGAGAAGGCTGGTGATAACATGTCAAGTTAGAAACAAGAGAGAAGGCTGGTGATACCATGTCAAGCTAGAAACGAGAGAAGGCTGGTGATACCATGTCAAGTTAGAAACAAGAGAGAAGGCTGGTGGTACCATGTCAAGTTAGAAACAAGAGAGAAGGCTGGTGATACCATGTCAAGTTAGAAACAAGAGAGAAGGCTGGTGGTACCATGTCAAGTTAGAAACAAGAGAGAAGGCTGGTGATGCCATGTCAAGTTAGAAAAAAAAATATAGCACAATAGGATCCAGGTTCTATTTGAAAAAAAAAGAAAAATCAAAAAACAACTTAGGAACAATATTAACAGTAACTTTTCTCTGGCTGATAAAACTCTTGAGTGCTGCTTCCTTCCTTATTCATTTTATATTTCCCCCATTTCATTCCATAGACACTGCAATGTTATAACCCAGGTGTGGAATGGTCATTGAGTTAAAAGACACAGCACATTTCCTGGCAGGTGCCTCCTGACCCCCTCCCTTGTGTCTTCACCTCCCTGAAAAGTGGATGTTTTTGTACAGGTTGTGCATATCGGCGGCTCTGTGGCCAATCCAGTACTATCCTATCACGTGCTGGGGACACGATGTGGTCAGACGTATCGTCGTTCTCATGGTCTCAAGTTCACATTGTCTCTCACACAGGTACTTGGATCTGCTATAGACGGCCACGGGCCTCCTGGATTTGGTATACAGGGGTCCAGACACCTTGGATTTGATATAGAGGGTTTTGGGCCTCCTGGATTTGGTAAAGAAGGATTCAGAGTGCCTGGATTTGGTATAGAAGGATTCAGGGCTCCTGAGTTTGGTATAGAGGAGGCATGGCTCCTGGATTTGGTATAGAGGGATTCAGGGCTCCTGGATTTGGTATAGAGGATTCAGGGCTCCTGGGTTTGGTATAGAGGGATTCAGGGTTCCTGGATTTGGTATAGAGGGATTCAGGGTTCCTGGATTTGGTATAGAGGGATTCAGGGCTCCTGGGTTTGGTATAGAGGGATTCAGGGCTCCTGGGTTTGATAGAGGATTCAGGGCTCCTGGATTTGGTATGCAGGGATTCAGGGCTCCTGGATTTGGTATAGAGGATTCAGGGCTCCTGGATTTTGTGTAGAGGGATTCAGGGCTCCTGGATTTCGTATAGAGGGATTCAGGGCTCCTGGATTTGGTGTAGAGGGATTCAGGGCTCCTGGGTTTGGTATAGAGGATGCAGCGCTCCTGGATTTGGTATCAAATTTCCTGGATTTGGTATCAAATTTCCTGTCTCTTAGACTCTCTTTTTCTTTTTCCATTCTTCCAGCTTGCCTGGCTGCCTCTTCCCTGTATCTTACTCCAACAGGGGTCAGTGCTGGCCATGGTTATGTGGAGAGTTTCAAAAGCAGACATTGTCTCACAGATGACCTCTCTTTCTTACCCTAGAAGGACTCCGTGTAACATGAGGCATTCCTTTTAACATGTGGCATTCCTTTTAACACATGTTGAGGTGGTCAAAGAATACTTTTTGAAATAACTCATTTAATACAATATTTTATTTGGCAGACGCATGTTGATATTTCTCCTAGGAAACAAAAATGTGGACATAGGTTATTATTTCTCACTGTGGTTTTTAGCAGGCATAAGAATTGGGCATCTCAGAATAGAATGGAATACAGGAGCTTGATGAAATTTTAGAGACGGTCTAGCTCAGATGCTCTGCAGGAGACGAAACTGAGACCCAGAGAGCTGGGGTCGCACGTCCAGTCCTCGTGGTGCCCACGGAGGCCCAGAGTGTGGGAATCCTCCTGCAGCAATTCCGGCTCGTGGTCTAGTGATGTTCCCATCTCCCAGCTCCTACGGGAGGAAGTAAAATGAGGTGTTCATGAATTTCCCTTTTCTCCTGTGAATATGCTCTCAGGCTACAAGATTCTCTTGGTTTTCTAAAGGTTATGTTGATAAGTGTCTCTTTTTCAACATTTTAATTTGCATGTATATATGTGTATATATATGAATCTTAATCCATGGCTAGGCTCCTAAAGACAGCAGTTTTCTGTCAACAATATTTAAATAAACTCAAGCAGCTTCTACTCTCCCTCTATATGACAGAAATGCATTAAAAATCTTTGTATTATGGCATTTTGCATTCATATATTCAGTAGCAATAACAATTTTCCTTCACAGACACAGAAGGTTTATGCTTTCTCTACCAAAATTTTCAGACTTTGCCGGGTAGGACTTCATAATCATAATGATAAAACAATCTCCCTGCTGTAGTCCATGGCACAAATCCTCCTGGAGACAGTTTGTGAGCCTTGAGGAGGGACTCTCATTCCAACAAATAGTGACAATTTTTGCTAAATAAAATATTGCCTTTATTTCATTGAGCTGGGAATGCCCTAAGCATGAGATGTTGCTGTCTTTCCTCATCAGGCACCTGGAGCCCCACTGATGGCTGTCTGTGTGCCTTTCTGTGGCCCAGTGACGACTGGCCCTTAGGGTTGGGGCCCAATGGTTTTCCTCCCATGGGCTCACCACAGTGTCAGGCAGCTGAGGACTTTGCTAACATGTCCTGTCCTCGTTCACAGAGTCCTTGGCTCCGTCATTGTGTCTGTCTAGGACGTGCATGGATGGCTTAGGAAGAGAAGGCAGACAATGGACAGAACCAGACAAGGGGCCAAGCACAGGGCTGGAAAGTCACTCAGACAGATGAGCCTGTACCTGGGTCTCCTGATGTGTGTGCTGGAGGGTCTGGGAACCGAGGCTGACATGCCTGGTGTCAGGTTAATTTCCTTCTGTGTTTAATATCCTACCCCAAAATACATCTTTCAAGACTTTATTATTATTATCATTCTAGGACTTTTGTTGATGGGACATCTCTGTATGATCTTATGTGGCTCATTAAGGGATTCCTATTTATGACTTTAGCCACAGGGCAGGGGTATCACCTTCCTTTTCATTCTCTGATTACTCACTCACCCACTGAGAACTGCTGTGATTACATCCGGTGCCCCATAGGAGGTCAGGGCCACAGTTAAGGGATGGGGGAAGTAAAGTCAGGGGAAGAGGAAAAAGACGGATCCGTAAGACATGGGACGTGGCATAGAATTGTTTAGGAAATCCCAGTCTTCCTGAAAACTTAGGTTGTTTTTAATGACACATTTATTGGAGACAAGCCGAGTGAACTGAAGGAACCTCTTTTCTTCTGCCTCCATTTTTTTTTTTTTTTTTTGAGATGGAGTCTTGCTCTGTCTCCAGGCTGGAGCACAGTGGTGCGATCTCGGCTCACTGCAACCACCAACTCCCTGGTTCAAGCGATTCTCCTGCCTCAGCCCCCAGAGTAGCTGGGATTACAGGCACCTGCCACCACGCCTGGCTAATTTCTGTATTTTTAGTAGAGACTAGGTTTCATCATGTTGGCCAGGCTGGTCTCAAACTCCTGACCTTGTGATCTACCTGCCTTGGCCTCCCAAAGTGCTGGGATTACAGCTGTGATCTTCCTCCAATTTTTGTGGCTACTGCACAAATATGGATTTAGATGACAAATATCATGTATTAAAAAATCATGAGACTTGGTCCTTCCAGGAGTTTAAAAAGATGCCGTTTTGAATAAGACTCGAAGGCACAGCTGGGGGTTGAGATGAGGTCACCATGCTGTTGCCAAAGTGATGTCTGAAGTTTTAAAACGGCACATCAGTGATGGAGCTGCCAGACTTAGCAAATAAAAATACAGGTTACCCAGTTAAATGTGAATCTCAGATAAATCACACATGATTTTTTTTGTGCTATAAGTATATCCCATGCAATATTTGGGATATACTTATACTAAAATATTATTTATTATTTATCTAAAATTCAATGTAACTGGGCTCTTGGCAATCCTACCGATGACTATTTTATATAAGCAGAAACACAAACCATGAAACGTGTTTAGAGTAACGTCTTACCCAGAGCCAGGTCGTCTGAGCCCCAGTCCCTAGGAGGTGCCTCTGCTCTGTCGCTCTTCACCGGCAGGTCACCCCTGGACCCGTTGGCTTTGCTGGCTTAGGGGTGGGGTGTGTGTGGGTCAGGAGGCAGGAGGCTGGAGTATGAAAAGGAGGAAGCCGAAGGTATTAAGCGGAAGGGAAAGGAGAACAGGACCGGGATCTTTTGCATCCCGTCTGGATGATCACGCTTGGGGGATTGATTCATGGATGGATTGATTCATAGGATCGTTTATGTATTCAGGGGTGGTTGAGGACCAGGTTCTGTGCCGACCGTCGAGTGGTGGAAGCCGATGTTGCATAGGGAGTTACAACCCAGTGTGGGCGTCTCCTGGAGGAGGTTCAGGGGCCACTGAGCATGTTGCAGTGGTGTCACGCATGCCAGCTGGGGACCTGGCACCGAGTGGAGAACTGGTGGATGATGAGGACAGTGAGGGGCAGAGGGTGCCGCGGCTCTCCTAAAACATCCACGTGAATGCAAAGAAAATCACGCCAAGTTGGTCGGGCACGGTGGCTCACGCCCGTAATCCCAGCACTTTGGGAGGCCGAGGCAGGTGGATCACAAGGTCAGGAGTTCGAGACCATCCTGGCTAACACAGTGAAACCCCATCTCTATTAAAAATACAAAAAAATTAGCCGGACGTGGTGGCGGGCACCTGTAGTCCCAGCTACTTGGGAGGCTGAGACAGGAGAATGTCGTGAACCTGGGAGGTGGGGGTTGCAGTGAGCCAAGACCACGCCATTGCACTCCAGCCTGGGCGACAGAGTGAAAAAAAAAAAAAGAAAAAAAATCACGCCAAGTTAATATCGAGATTAGACACAATGGCCCGGTGCCGTGCTGAGCCATATTGGAGACATAGGATAAAAAAAAAATCCAGTATCAGCAATTCTGTCTTTAAAATTGTGATATTTTGTCTGTCATGGGTTTTTGTACTAACTTTGGTTTTTAAAAACATATTGCATTAAAATGTAGTTGGCCTTTACCTTCATGACTGAGATTTTGTGGCCAGGGAGGCGGCTTGCTGGCCTCCCCACACTCGAGCTCCTGTGTGAATAGAGTCTGTGGGTTGTCTTTGGGGTTCGCCTGACTCCCCAGACACTCTCCTGCTTCTCCATCTCTCAATGGTGGCAGCAGCAGGCTCTGAGGTAGATGCAGACGCCAGAGGTTTTATTTGCACAGGGCCAGGGACACGGCAGATAGGAAGTGAGCAGAAGTCTCGTGGCCTCTTTATATATGATATTTATCATCTAAATCCATATCTGCACGGTAGCAACAAAAATTTGGGGAAGGGGAAAAGAAGTTTCTTCAGTTAATTTGACTTGTCCCTAAGAAGGGAGTCATCAAAAGACAATATATATTTTCAGGAAGATGGCAGTTTCCTAAACAATCCCGTGCCACGTCCTGTGTCTAATGGATCCGTCTTTTTCCTCTTTCCCTGACTTCACCTCCCCGTCCCTTCACTGTGGGCCCCACGTCCTGTGAGCACGGGGTGGGCTCAGCACAGTTCTCGGTGGGTGAGTGAGTGATCGGAGAATGAAAAGGAACGCGATATCCCTGTCCTGCGGCTTAAGTGGTGAATGGGAATCCCTTAATGGGCCATAGAAGATCGTAAACGGATGCCCCATTTGTGACTCATAACTCCTCTAAATCCACCACTAGATGAGAGGCACAGAGCCTCGTCCTCCACAGCCGTGTGATGAAAGAATGAATGATCCCATGAGACCCTATAGCTTTGGACTGTCCCCATTCCAAGACTATCAAAAGTTTTAGAACAATCAACTCATTCATTCATTTGTTCAACAATTATTTGCTGGTTCCTGGCATTGGCGGGTTCCAATCTGGCTCTGGGACCATCTCCTCCTTCCTGACCCCATCACTTTCCCTTCCAGAGGCAGAGGCCGTTCTCCGTCCCCTTCCTTTGTCCTGGTATTATCCCAGCCAGGGCACTCGGGCCCTGTTTCTTCCTTCCTTCCCTTCCAGGCCTTGGCTGGCGGAGCAGGAGAGCAACAGGCCTTTGGCAATGGCAGGTTGACCTGCTGCTCTGCCTCGAGCGTGTGCTGGTGTCCAGGCCCAGCAAGGCCACCCTCCAGGCCTGTCACCCGGCTCCTGCGTGGGAGTTGCCTGACCAAGCTGGACGGCAGCAGGTGCAAGTCCGGCAGAGATAGGGTTATTGCATTTGCTCCCCATCAGCCCTGGCTGCAACACACTCCTGCGGTAGCAGGGTCACTCGCGTGTTCTTCAATTGTTGGCATGGATTCGGGCGCCTGGAGGTGGATGGAGTGGGGGCTACAGCTGTGCAGCCTTGGCAAAGAGGAGAGACTCAGACCCTCAAACCCACAGCCACCCTTTGTTCAAAGTGGGGAGAAGAAAACACAAGGACTTGAGTGTTGATTTGGGGTTGGATTTTCCAAGAAGGAGTCAGGTTCATTCCAAGTGAAGAATTTAAAAAGGGGCTGGAAGAGGGCTTTCTCCCTCTGGAGATAGGGAAAAACATGTTCTCTGATTCAAAGGGCAGCGCTGCTGTGCACAGCTCATGCATTATTCATGAGCCATCCCACTTCTAGGTCTGACGGACAGTTATTTATAGCATATCATCCTTTTCACAAAATGACACTACCCAGGCTGCAGGCTGAAGTACATTTAAGGTAAGTGTCCTGAACTGGGTGGAAATCCTATTGATGTTTCAGAATATATATAATGTGCGCTTGAAAATGACTATGTATAACTTGTATTTTTGCCCCATTTCTCCATAGTGAAACAGGTTTTCGACAGCCAGACCCAGGGGTGAGCTATGGCTACGAATGGAACGGCCTGACATCTATCTATATCTATTTTAAAGCAGCAGGAGAAACACCTCAAGCCCGTCCTGGCACTGTGGGTGGCTGTGTGATGGGAGGCTGAGGAGACTTCGTTTTCCTGTTGGTGTAGTGTCTGGATTTTCTCTGCATTTCCAGCCTATTCACAAACCAGTGATGACAAACCAGGCAGGTGCGGCCAGCCAGTGCGGGTCTGCCCAGGCCACTGGCCCCCGCCTCCTGGACATTTTAGCCGGGCGTTAGTCACTCCACTGCGCGCAGGTGCACTTCTGTGCAATGATGGCTATGGCCTCCATCCAGAGGTGGCAGAAGTCTGCGCAGAGCAGGTGACGCAGGCCTCAGAGGGGACCCAGGGACCAGGTGGGGGCAGAACCAGATCCAGCCAGCTGCGTCTCTGCCCGAGCGATAATTTTTAGGAGGGGGCATTGTGGCAACAAGTGGATTCTATGCATACAATACAGATAACGCTTTTTCAGAAAGCATTAAATAGCAACATTTTCTGGGCAGACAGCCTTCCACCAAGTAGGGAAGTCATACTCAGCTTTTAAAATGGAAAACAGCTATTGCATAATTATCATTTTAATCAGAGAATTCAGGGGAAATGGAAGAATCCAATTCACATCGATAGCCTTAGAATAGGCTAGGTCATCTCTTTCCCGGATTGTTCAATGAGACTGATTTCAAGACATGGGCCAGCCGGGCATTCCTCCCGGTACCCTGCTGCAACCTGCTCACCCTGTCTGGGTTCACTGGTGTCCTGGCAACAGCGTGGGTGCCGGGGCAGGCATCTGGAGATGGAGTCGGCAGAGAGCATGGCTCTGGGCTCCGCAGACCCGGCAGGAGCCCCGGCTGCAGAGAAGGAGATGTGGGGGAAAAAGCCTGTGCTAGTCTGGAAGTGGAGTCTGGAGCTTAGATTAGAAAGTGTGTTGACAGAAGGAATTCCCCACCGCAGTCCCGTTCCTGGCTGACAGTTCTCCCAGCAGCAGGATCTGTGGGAGCGGGACTCCAGTGCACTCGGGTCCTCGGTGTCTGTCCTTCCAGGGGTATCCAGGTCTCAGAGCACAGGTGCACACGGGTACAGTGGCTCTGTGACACAAGAGGAGGGTCACTCACAGTGGTCCCACGCACGGCGCCGACCACACAGACCCCAGAGGACACGTGGTGCTCTGGGCCTGTGACCAGCACAGCAGTTGGAGCAGGTGTGTGTCTGAGCTGGAGCTGGGCGGCCCTGCCCTGTGGCAGCGGGAATAAGAGGAGACAAGGGGCGGGCAGGTAATCACCGAGGAGCTCTTCCCAAGAACAGAGACGTTGCTGTTAGAATACAAAGCTGGTCCAGGAAGGGCACAGAGGGAATCGCGTCTCTGCTTGGCCACCCTGCCATCCCTTTGTCCCTCTCTTACACAAACATCGTCCATCCCCCCGGGTGCTTCAGACTGGACCTGGTGCCCAGGGCCCCTGACCACAAACCCTAAACACACCCGGGGCTCCTCCAGCGCCGAGTCCCCCACGCTTCCTCACCCCGCTCAACACACATCTTCAGTCTTGCACTTTTCTCTCTCTTTTTTTTTTTTTTTAAATTTTAGATGAAGGGAAAATGGTTTCACTCTATAAACCACTTCTTGTTTAGGGATATGTCAAAAACACAGTTAAAATTCATTCTCTTCTTTACAGTGAAAATTCCAGAACAGATGGAACACATCTTTTCCCACTTCAGAGCGCGAGGGGGGACGAGGAGAAGCATCCTCTGTGTCTCAGGAAGCTGCGTCATTAGTTCGGGGTCAGGATAAAGGGGAAGGATGAACGCATTTGTGTGTCAGGCTGCAGGGCACCCGCACGTGGAGAGAGTCTGCAGGCCCTCAGTCAATCACACCGATGTGAAAGCGAGGATGGAAGGGGAGGGAAATTACATTTACCTGTGTCCTGGCTGCAGCCACGATGGGTGCTGGGGAAAGTCAGGAGGACTCGGGATGAGAAAGAGGCAGTAACTCCCGGTGTGTTCTGTCTGGGGGACCCAAGAATGTCTGCACCATCACTTCTCGGTTCTCGCTGGATGTAGCGTGGGGCTCACTGGGGTCACACACCCTACGGGATTTTGAAGTTTCAAAGACCTCTGGGTTTTATTTGTCTCCTGACCTGCCCGTGTTCATCCAGGTGTTAATCTGCCACCATGCCCTGCCTTGCAGCGCAGGGAAGACCGCAAGGCCGCAGCACCCTACGCCCCGGACGACCCGCCGCACAGGTGTGAGGCCATCGCACCGCGAGGGAACGGTCACTAGGTGTCGCCGTCTTCCTCGGAATGGAAGCCACGTTTCTCCTGCACCGTTGAAATGGACTGGAACAAAATTTTCTAGACTTCAAGGAAACCATCCTTTCTAATAACAATGAGATGGTAATTAGTAGGGGAAGTGGCATAAAATTATTTCACCATTTAGTGAAACCATGATTCTAAACTACAGAAAAAACTGTCTTTTTTAAAGCTCATTCAGCCGGGTGCAAACCGCCTTGCTGGCGGGCGGCACCTGAAGGTGACCTGGCCTTGTCCCCCCCTCCATCCCCCCAGTTTCCTCTCTGTGGTGAACGTGGTTGGGGTTCACGTCTCACCCCCCATGCAGACCCCAGCAGATCCTGAGGGCAGCGTGTGGACCATGTCCGAAGGGTCCAGAGGAAGATCCCACATGTGTAGAATACAGACCCATGGCCCCTGGGAGAGTGAAGGACACGCAGATGATTGGCAGCGGCCACTTCTCACACAAGCAACCCCTCTCTGTTTTACTGATGAGAAAACAGAGGCTTAGAGCGATTGTGTAACTTTCCCACAGCCAAGTTCAAACTCAAAGTGGGTTTCAAAATTTAGGTTTGTCCGGCTCCGAGACCCGTGTTCTCTGCAGGGCACTTAGAGGACTCCTGTGCTGACCTCTCAGGCAGCCTTCTACGAAGGGACGCGGAGAATAACAGGAAGGATTTCCATTTCCTTTTTCTAGGAAAAAAACAAAAGGCAAGAGGTAGGAATTCAGAGCTAGAGTCGCTTTACAATTCGGTTCCATTGTCGAGACGGAGAGATTCCACGACCATGACAGAAAGTGAGACTATTTAGGATTTGCCAAATAGGATGTTTTCTGAACCAATCAACATAGAACGGAAATGAGTTGGGACAAATGGCAGTGCAGTGAGAGGAAAGGTGAGTCTTCCAGCAGCCCTGCCTCCCTCATCCTGGGAGGAAACGTCCGCAGAAGCCGGGCTCCCCTGTGCCTTCCCCAGCCCTGCCTCCAGGAAGCTCTCTGAGCATTTCCTACAGACCCTGCCCCATGCTCTTCTCCTGCCGGTTTTCTCCACGTGGTTTTCTCCATGTGCAGAAACGATGATTCGGGTCTGGCACAGTGGTTCATGCCTGTAATCCCAGCACTTTGGGAGGCCAAGGCAGGTGGATCACCTGAGGTCGAGAGTTCGAGACCAGCCTGACCAACATGGAGAAACCCGTCTCTACTAAAAATACAAAATTAGCCGGGCGTGGTGGTGCATGCCTGTAATCCCAGCTACTTGGGAGGCTTGAGGCAGGAGAATCGCTTGAACCCGGGAGGCAGAGGTTGTGGTGAGCTGAGATGGCACCACTGCACTCCAGCCTGAATAACAAGAGAGAAACTCTGTCTCAAGAAAAAAAAGATGATTCGGAGCTGCCTGGAACATGGAACAGCCCAGCGAGTCGCTGGCTGCAGTTCTCAGACCCAGGCTCTGCCGATCTCATCCCAGGCTGGAAGAGTTGCCACCAAGGCGTGTGGGTGCCATTTGCTGCAAAAGTTCTTATGGAGAACCATGACACATAACCGTGCCAGCTTCTCATGCCGGGAGACCGCAGCGCCTCTCCACACAAGTGGGGCCTTCCTTCTGCACTTTTATTCTGCAGTTGGGCTCCCGCTCCAGGGGGCTCCGTGTTTCTAAGAACCACAGCCCAGCATCATTAAAGAAGGCATTATTTTGTGTTTAGTAGAGCACTAAATTGGTGAAATATAGTTGTGATTCTGGTAGTGAATATCCCTGTTGCCACGGTAACGATATTATGTCATGGGAGGCTGTCTCGAGTGCTCCTGGGAGCAGCCAGGTCTCCGTGAGCTCCTGTTTACTCTAAAGACTCCGGCAGCCCACATGTGTGCACGCTGAATAAAATCGTGCTGCGGGACCACAGTGCGGGGAGGCACCGACTCTGTCATTCTGTCAACGCACCGCACAGTCACGAACATCAGCATTGACATGAAATGGACGGTTAGGGAGCTGCAAAGGACTCATGCTCCTCTATTGCACGAATTTGTCTTTTCATATTCAAAGTACTTGTAAGAGCTCCAAGTTCCACGTACTCAGCCACTAACCTCAGGCATCTGCACGGGAGACTTGGTACACAGGCTCACATGCATGCACGCACACAGGCACACGTACAAGCGCCCGTGTACACACAACAGTGTACACATGCGACACACATTCACACACATGTGCAGATGCACACACACAGATCAGTGTGAGGAAGAGTCAGGGGTTCATGGAACAGCCCCTGCTCTGCAAGCCATGTCTGGCCGTGTAGGGGAAAGAGACAAAACAACACGCTGGTTACCTTGGAAGAGGAAAGAAAGGGAGAGACCTGCAGGTGTTGGGCGCGACACAACCCAGAGCCACCCTCGTCAAGGGACCCTCTCCCTGCTCGATGCATTCCTCCCACCCGACATTCAGTGAACACAGGGAGGCTTAGTGTGAAGGACACCTGCAGTGTGTGTGTCTGTGTGTGTGAATGTGTGTGTGTCTGTGCACATGTGTGGTGTGTCTGTGTAAGTGTATGTGGTGTGTCACTGTGTGTTCTATGTGTGGTGTGTGTTTATGTGTCTGTGTAATGTGCATGTGTACTGTGTGTGTGGTGTGTCTCTGTGTGTGTGTCTTCGTAGTATATGTATGTGTTGTGTGTTTGTGCATGGTGTGTATGTGTCTGTGTGGTGTGTGTGTGTCTGTGTGTATGTGTCTCTGTGAATGGGTGTGTGTGCATATGTGGTATGTGTGGTGTGTGCAGCAGTGTGTGTGTGTGCACGCATATACACTGTGTGTGGTATGTGTGGTATGAGTGTGTGTGTGAAATGTGTGTGTCTGTGTGGTGTGTGATTGTGTGTGTCTGTGTGAATGTGTGTGTGCATATGTGGTGTGTGTGGTGTGTGAGTCTGTGTGTGTGTGGGGTGTGTATGTGTGGTTTGTGTGTTGTGTATGAGATGGAGAGAGGCAGGCCAAGGCGGGGAGATCGAGGAGGAGGAGGGGCTGGTGGGTCGGTGCTGCCAGCACGATGCTAGGAGTGACCCGGGCGTGTGGGAGGGGTCCTTTGCCACCTGGACCCCATCGCATGCCCTGAATCTCATTTTTGAACCCAAAGCTCAGAACGCTTCCTGGCTGTCTGCCCATCAGTTTCAGCCTTACCCTGAGCAGAAAGAGCTGCCGGGGTGGGGGGTGGGGGCGGGGGGGTTCTGCATTCTAATGGGGCGGGTTCTGCATTCTAATGGGGCGGGTTCTGCATTCTAATGGAGTGGGTACGGGTGACTTCAACAGTGAGTCTCAAGTTATTGTCTCTCTGGGAAAACACGCCCCCGTGACCTTCCCACCAGCACTGGGCACTCCAGGGGGTTTTGGGACAGGGCTTTCTGCAGGGTCTTGAGCAGCTGGCATCTCACCGACAGGTGTCTTCTGGAAACCTTCCGTGAAGACCTTCCCCTGAGGAAGCCAAGTCACCTGAGCTTTCTTCCTCATCGCTAAGTATAAACATCAGTGAAAAATAAGTGAATGTGGTAAGCTTTAAAACGGCAAACAAATGAGCCAGGCGTGCTGGCGCTCCTGTAATCCCAGCTGCTCAGGAGGCTGAGGCGGGGGAATCACTTGAACCTGGGAGGCAGAGGTTGCAGTGAGATCGCACCACTGTACTCCAGCCTGGCGACAGAGTGAGACTCCGTCTCAAAAAATAATAACAATAAATAGCAAACAGCAGAGAGCATCATCTTAAGGTTTTGAAAATACATACGTATTACTATTATGTTTAATACAGTCATACTAGGAGCACAGGTTAAATACTTCTGTGACTTCACAGGTATTCCCTGTCTCCCCTCCCAATGCCATTATGTGAACCAATAAAAGTGCAAATGGTTTCATCCCTGGTGGCCCCAGAGTCTCAAGAAGCTGAAAAAATTCCTAAGTTGCCTACAGGTTACAGTGATTGACGGAGAGAATGGGCATCTTTTAAAGTTAGTAAGCTAAGAAGGAAATATATGAAAATGAAAGTTAGGAAATGAGATAATTTCTTAAGGTCATAGAGTACACCTGGGCCCACTGATAATATTTTGAATGAAAACGGAAACGTACATCCCAATTATCGATGTTTTTGTACACACAATGCCAAACATCTTGATACTTAGACCCATAACACTTTAGCTTCAATGGCTTACGTTTCCCTGGCATGATGGGTGCCAGCCATGGGTCCGTCCCGAAACATGCTCCAGATCTGATGCTGAATGGCACTTTGGGCCCGGGCCACACCCCACCTTGTGTGGATTAAATGTGCTATCCCTTGTTGTTGGTTGTGCAAATTTTCACACTTTTTCATGCGAGACAGCTTTTGGAGTAGGATAAGTTCTGGCCTTTGAAAACGTACAATATCCTTTCTCACAGGTAAAAGCCAGAGGGTGCCCTGAAGCCCCTCTCAGGTTGTAAGGTTGTGGCATCCCCCTTTGGCGAATGAGGGGATCCCAGCCCAAGAAGGAGGGATTCCCAGGAGATCACACAGCTCCTCACCACCCCGCTCTCCTATTTCCTAAGTGTGGTGTGCTGAGGAGTCCACAAAGCTGCCTTGGGGATTTAACAAAAGCCTCTTCAAATAACACACAGGACAGGGCTCCCGGGTTAATCATCTTTCTTTGTCTAAGAAAGAAAGATCTTCCTAGGTTTTATATTCACACATATTTGTTGTGACTTCCTTTTGTGTCCATCAATCAAAGCTGTTCCCTCTCTTGGTTTTGGGTATGTCATTACCTGCAGGGCACTCGGTGGAGGTGAGGTGGTCATTGGCTTCTGTCCTGTTCTTCAGTGGTTTTTACTTAGCGATTACCGGCAATTTCACCATTACTGCAGGGCACAAATTTGTTTATTTTAGCACATTTTCTTCATAGCCTTAATCTGCTGTCAAGTCAATAATGTGCTCCCCAACTTCCATGATAAAATCTTCCCCCAAAAGAATCCCGATGGAGTGCTGGTCTCTAAGGACGTAGAGACACCAGAATGTTTTCTAAACCTTTTTGTCTTGTGTGCTGATGCTCAGAACATGGTCATTCGCAATCACTGAGCTTTGCAAAGCTTTTGCACGAGCTGACCTAATTCTTATCCCTGCTCCTTTGAAGAAGACGGACTTTTAGCTTTGGTAGTGTTGGGTGCTACAGAGCCAGCCTCAGATGTACCAGGTGTTATAGAGCCAGCCTCGGATATACCAGGTGTTCCCATGTTCAACTGGAATGGGTGCTGAAAACCTGTTTATAAACGTGTTCCCCTCCTTGTTTCAGGGGACAGGTGTTCCCATGGGTTGACTGGCTCCTTCAAACCCCAACATTCAGTCTTTAAAGGCACTGTCTATGCCTAAATGCCTTACTCACTAGTAGCAGCCCACTGGGTGATGGGGCTATGCTCCTCCCTCCTCCCGTGGGCATTGGGACTGGGATTCTTAGATTGGAGCAGGGAATTTCTCATCAGTCACTGTGTAATGTGAAAACCAAGGGAAAGCCCAGCGCCTCCCAAACCCTGGAGCCCCAAGTCATGTGAGGAAGCTGAGATCTAATCAGAAGGCACTGGCGAGATTGTGTTAGACAGATGGGGTCACCCAACGTACAGGGTGGCCAAGGCAATGATCAAGGCCAAGGAGAAGGGAGGGACTAAATACCGCAGCACCAGGATTGCTGGGAGCCGGGTGTCCTTCGCCTGCCTGGAGTTGATGCTTGAATGGGGGAAGCTGGGGCCTGGCCCCAGGGATGGCGAGTGTGAGAGGGTCAGCCCCAACATGAGAACCGCGGAGCCTCAAGAGAGGAACTTGGGACATCAGCAAGCCCCGTGCAGCGTGGGTGAGCAGCTTTCTGATTTGCTGGGGCCCTTCTTGTTGCCATGAACAGGAGTCCAGGAGTGACTGCATATGGTGTCCCAAGGAGCCTGGTAAATAAATGTGCGCTGGCTTCCTGGGAGTGAGTTATGAGGAAACGCTAAGGGCAAGAGGAGAAGATGGCTGGACATCCACAGCCCCTTGGTCCCGGGCTCTGACAGCTCCTCAGCATAATGAGTGGAAATGAAGGGCCTGGCCAAGCGAATTGGCCGATTGGCTTTCTTCTATTCTCATTGCTAAATTAATATTGCCGTTAATGTTTGCCAATATTTCAACCTCGGTGGACTGGCATCTAACAGTCTTGAGCTTGCAGAGGCCATTTCTGTGCTGGAGTTTTGGTTTTCGAGGTGCATTCATTCATAAAAGCTGATGTTCCCCAGAAAGTAAGCACTGAGAGCTACTATTTCCTTGAGCATTCATTTTATTTAGGTTCTAGAAATTTACGTGATATCGGATGAAGAGATTCAAATAGTTTGTGAAGGAGTTAGGAATATACAACCCCTTCCTTTTGAAGACATTTATAAACCTATTGAACATATCCTGGAAGCTGGTCTGTGGACAGCCCAGTGCTATACACTGGGGGAGTGAGAGACAGCAAAGCCGTCTCCCTCCTCTGCTGGAGGTTTTACCCTCAGAGGAGAGGCTCACATATTAAAGCCCTAAGACAAGAGAAATTAGGAGTGGCAATGTAATACTGTAAAGTACAATCAGAGCATGATGGAAATAGATAATAGCTTCGTTATTTTTAATGAATGCATTGACTTAAGAATATACAAAGTTTCCTGTGTGACCAGCTGAGTCTCCATGCACAGAGAACAAACCCTAAACAACACCAGTACTTCGTGAGCAGTTGCAGGGATATTCTTTAATGCTCCTCTAACTCACTTAATCTTGATTTGACCTTTCAAATGTAAAAGAGAGTTTTATTGTTCATCTGGATGTCTAGTAAATTCAATAAATAAAGTTCAGAAGACCGATGCCTAGATGAGAAATAGAAGCTGATGACCTTTTTGTTTTGGCCTCAGCCATGGTGACCACACAGGACCGGGGGGTGCTTCTGGCTTTGGCCATCCCAAAGCCTTTGGGTCTGGATGAGCCCCAGGTAACCGAATGATGGACAATCGCTTTTATAAAGTGACAGTTTACTTCTGAGATCGCTGTTATTAAAATGAACACTGGATAGGGCTCTCACGAAAGCTAAAAGCCTTTGTTTGTTCTGGTCTCAGTTCTCAGGGACCTAAACATGACACTGTTCATGTCAACCTCCATGTACTTTGCCCAGTCATAGAAGATGCAAAACATAGCAAATTGTTTTTCTTTTGACTCTTGATCAAAAGGGGGAGCACAGCAGTCAAGAGTTTAGAAAAGTACTCTCATGTTCACACCTGTGTCCTACAGAGTTCTGCGATTTGGCAGGCAGGCTGTGTGAGTGGGCCCCTCTCCTCACTGAAAGACATTCTTGGTCCTCAAAGGTGAGGTCCATGGCTCCAGCCCTGCCTCGCCTCCCCTGGCCTCTATGTCGACTTTCCATTACGGATGGAGAACCGCTTCTGGAGTCAGAGTCTTCGCAGGCAGTAAGGCTCGTGAGAGCCTCAGTGCAAGACGAACCATCTCCATGCGCTGATGTGGTTTTTCTGAAGTAAAATAAGGACTAATTTCCAAACTTCATGCAAACAAGGCAAAGATTTGTCGATGACGGTGGCAGTGAAACTGCGGGATTGTCAACATCAGATAGGGTGGACATGGGGGCCGGGAAAAGCCACGCAGACACTAGCTGTCTCAGGACCCATGTTGTCTGGATTTTAAAGGCCTATTTTTCAGCCTTGCTTGGTTTGAAACAGTTCATTTCTACCTTGAGCCTTTCCAGGGAGTCTAGCGACCAACTGACAACCTCAATAAAGATCCATTCCTGGGTCAGTAGCAATTCAATGATGGGTTGAGCTTCTGAAGTTACCAAAGCTTTCATTTCCTGTCCCTTCCCCACATGAACTAAGTATTCCTGGTCCAGTCAAGATTACACCAGACCGTCATGTCAGGGGCCCAGGACCTTCTTGCTGGTTAATAGGCTACAGTAGCTGCAGCGTCATTCTCTTAGCAGGGTTTTTCAAATTTTGGATTAGGACCCATTTGGCTCATGAAATTAATGTACTGAGCCTCTACAAGCAAGCACTGAGGAAGAAGAAAAGAAGGAAGGAACTGGAAAAAAAAATATTTCAATGCAATGCACATAATGATGCATGGTCTCCTAAACTTTTCCGTGTGTGTGTACGGGCTCGATCATGGTGTAAAAATCTATTAAAAGGCTATCATAGCCACTACTGTACTGCAATATATTCCAAGCAACATAGACAGAGGCTCCCACATCTGGATTTTTTTTTCCTGTAAAAATAAGAAGAGGCCGGGTGTGGTGGCTCACACCTGTAATCACAGTACTTTGGGAGGCTGAGGTGGGTGGATCGCCTGAGCTCAGTAGTTCCAGACCACCCAGGGTAACATGATGAAATCCCGTCTCTACTAAAAATACAAAACAATGAACTGGGTGTGGTGGCATGCACCTGTAGTCTCAGCTACTTGGGAGGCTGAGGCAGGAAAGTCGCTTGAGCCCCAGAGGTGAAAGTTGCAGTGAGCCAAGATCGCACCACTGCACTGCAGCTTGGGCTACAGAGTGAGACTCCAACTGGAAAAAAAAAAAAAAAAGAAGAAGAAGAAGAAATTGAGTCACAGATTTTGTAAAAAAAAAAAATTAAAAATATTTATTAAGATTTATATTTATTTGAATCACCTTTTAAAATGTCAAGTGGGAAAATGAGATTTTTTTCCATCAAATACATTCCTTCCTTCCTCCCATTCCTCCCTCTCTCCCTCCCATTCTTTCTTCCTTCCTTTTCTGTATTTTAAAAAATATTTTTAATATAAGTAGTGTTTTTAGTAGTAAAACAGAGCCAACATTTGTATCCGTCCAGTAAGCATTTTCCTAGCAGGAAACATACAGGCCTGTGCTGTTTCCATTCTTAAAAAGATGGAATGAATAATACAGAGGCTAGAAGGAAGTCAGGCACGGGAGAAAGTGAATATTAGATTCAATTTCCTCTATTAGGTTTCATGCCTCTGAGCTGCTGCGTTGGTGAATGAAGACCTCTAAGCTTTTTACTGCTTTCCCTTTATGAGGTTAAATTGTATTTTTTCAGTATTTCACCCCAATCATGTGCTGTAAATCTATTCTTACTTTAAGAAAGAACTCATTCCACAATATATTTGCTTGACACAAGCCTGGGATTAGGGCAGTTTGCAAAGATTTGTTCTCCCTGATTTTTTTTTTTTTCCCTGTGAGTAAGTAACAATCTGGAGAGTAGTTAATGGAGTCGGTGACTCAGCTCACTTTGCTGTGGTTTCTGCTCTGTCATCAGCATGGATGTCTGGTCATTTTCGTAGAAACCAAGGAGAGTCCTGGAAGAAATGATGAGGTAGGTGTGGTCCTCCATCTCCGAGATGCTCCAGCCCAAATTTCAGTTTAAGATTATTGTGCTTTCACAGTTGCTCAGATAAAACAGTTTTCACTTCCCACAGACTCAGTGTTTAAAAATTAAGCTTCAGCAAGAGGAATGTTTTCTTACACAATTCTCTAATTCAACTTGTTTTCTCTCTCTGTATAGAAAAACCCTGGAGCAAAATACTTTACCAAAAAAGGACAAAATAAGGCTTGTGACTGCAATTTAAAAATTGTTAAAGGACACCGTTTCATAGGGAATAAATGAGAAGTGGGTAATGACTGTTTATTTGAATGATTCAATGCAAATTCCCTGGAACAGTAAATCTGGCCCAGTTTGTTTAAAGTAGAACATGTTTGACCTGAAACTTCTCGGAAATACAAATATTTTGTAAGGTGAGATCTGATTTAATAGATTTCTCTTTCATTACTTTTATTCATATAAAAACCAGAGAGTATTGTGACATTCAAAAATCAAGTAATTTGATATTAAAACCACAGCAATATAAATGACAAAAACAAGCCGTTCTGAGAGGCAAAGCAGCACTTGGTTTCCTAAGCCTGTAAAACTACTTGCGTTCGCTGGCTAGATTGAATTTTCTAAAACTACACAGTGATGTTTAGTTACTAGTTAAATGGTTTTTATAGAAATCTAGTTAGAAAGTGCAATTGAGTTGTGTCTCTTCATTGCTATTTTCAGTTAAGAGCTTCTTCCAAGGGCCAGTCTGCACCAGGTGTAAGTATTGGAGCTAGTAGGGTGATCGATAGCAATTGAATGATTAGTTGAGCCTCTGAAGTTACTCAAGCAACTATTTTAACGTTACAGATTTAAGAACATTTCTTGCTGCAAACGTTTGATCACAGGAGTCCATAGCTGAATAGGTGTGAGGCTAGGAGTCTTTTGGATATAGTAACCTTACTGTCAAACATGTTTTGCTATATATATAGTTACACATGGAACATAGCCATGTATAAAATGAATATTTGGTCCTCACAGTGAAGAGGAAAGTGCAGTCATGCTTTGTGACTTAGACACCTTATTGTCATCATCATCATTTTTGCAAAGGGCTTTTATCCCACCTTTGGCTGGAGCCTGGTGTGCCCCCCAGGGTGATGGGCTTGTCCACAAATCTCTGGTCTTACTCATTTTCCTCTCGTGGCTAAAGGCTCAAACATCACACACGGAGGCAACAGACACAAGGAAGACAGTATCGACCAGCATTTGTGAACATATGTGTCTAAGAAATAATAATCACAGAGCTTCGTGTTAAGTCCATACTTTCCGCAGAGCTGCAAAATTTACTAAGTGTTTTTGCCTTATTTGATTCTCACAAAAATCCTATGAGAAGAGCAGGCAGACACCCCCGTTTATAAATGAGGAAATGAGCTGGACACAGTGGCTCACTCCTGTGATCCCAGCACTTTGGGAGGCCGAGGCAGGTGGATCACCTGAGGTCAGGAGTTTGAGACCAGCCTGGCCAACATGGCAAAACCCTATCTCTACTAAAAATACAAAAGTTAGCTGGACGTGGTGGCACGTGCCTGTAGTTCCAGCTACTTGGGAGGCTGAGGCAGGAGAATCAGTTGAACCCAGGAGGCGGAGATTGCAGTGAGCCGAGATTGTGCTACTGCACTCCAGCCTGGGTGACGAGAGCGAAAACTCCGTCTCAAAAAACAAATAATAATAATAATAATAAATGAGGAAACAGTTGCTCAGCACTGTTGGGGCATGGCCAAGAGCACACAGAGATGGAGCTGGGCTTGTTTGGAGGTTTCTGGTGATAAGTCCCAGCTCTTGTACCACCCCATCCCTACAGGACTCCCAGGTTTTCTGAACGGTATAAATGATCTCACAGTCAGGAAGCAGGACACCATAGCTCACCTGAGCAACCGGAGGGCAGGCAAGCAGTTAGCCAGTTTGCTGTCACTCTCTTAGCCCTCTGGTTCTGGCCTTTGTGAGTGAATGTGAATAGGAAGAACATGAAAGGAAAATAATCCTAATATCCCATAGTAGTTCCCCATCCAAGCACCCTTTCTCTTCAAACCTCCTAAAGCTTCGACAACCACCTGGTGCTCATGATCTCCTCTCTCATCTCCTCAGAAGACACGGTTCTTGGGTCTTCTCTCTCTTATTCTTCAGAATGAGTCTTCCCTCCAGAAACTCCTCTGAGATTTGGCTGTGGTCTCCCACGCCCTGTCAGGCAGCGACTGCAGGCTTCTGTGGTTCTCGTTTCCAAACCTCAAACCATGAGAGACATGGAGGCTCTTCGAAATGATGGTGACACTGCTCTCCTGGGGAGGGCTGGACATGGATCGTCCTTTCCCAGCTCCGCTTAATCTGAAGCAGGAGGATCTGGCTGAGAGCTGGGATGAACTTCAATCTGGTTCTGCCGGATACAAAATCGACTGAGAAATGATGCCACCAACCAAAATGGTTTCTGAAGTTTGGGAATGTAAACATTTTTTTCCTTCTTTTAGAGATTTTCAGATAATGGAGTCTGGTCCCTCTGTCCATGGGCCATCAGCACCTGCAGTTCACACCACACTTTCCAGGGAAGAAGGCATCTACAGCACACCACCCACTGCAGGAACAGTGCAGATTCCCACATCTACAGCACAGCACCCACTGCAGGAACAGCACAGTTTCCCACATCTACAGTGCAGCACCCACTGCAGGAAGAGCGCAGATTCCCACATCTACAGTGCAGCACCCACTGCAGGAACAGCGCAGATTCCCACATCTACAGCTCAGCACCCACTGCAGGAAGAGCGCAGATTCCCACATCTACAGAACAGCACACACTGCAGGAACAGTGCAGATTCCCACATCTACAGCTCAGCACCCACTGCAGGAACAGCGCAGATTCCCTCATCTACAGCACGGCACCCACTGCAGGAACAGCACAGATTCCCACATCTACAGTACGGCACCCACTGCAGGAACAGCGCAGATTCCCACATCTACAGCACAGCACCCACTGCAGGAACAGCACAGATTCCCACATCTACAGTACGGCACCCACTGCAGGAACAGTGCAGATTCCCACATCTACAGTACGGCACCCACTGCAGGAACAGCGCAGATTCCCTCATCTACAGCACAGCACCCACTGAGGGACAGTGCAGATTCCCACATCTACAGCACAGCACCCACTGCAGGAACAGCACAGATTCCCACATCTACAGTACGGCACCCACTGCAGGAACAGTACAGATTCCCACATCTACAGTACGGCACCCACTGCAGGAACAGCGCAGATTCCCTCATCTACAGCACAGCACCCACTGAGGGACAGTGCAGATTCCCACATCTACAGCACAGCACCCACTGCAGGAACAGCACAGATTCCCACATCTACAGTACGGCACCCACTGCAGGAACAGTGCAGATTCCCACATCTACAGTACGGCACCCACTGCAGGAACAGCGCAGATTCCCTCATCTACAGCACAGCACCCACTGAGGGACAGTGCAGATTCCCACATCTACAGTGCAGCACCCACTGCAGGAACAGTGCAGATTCCCACATCTACAGCACAGCACACACTGCAGGAACAGTGCAGTTTCCCTTGCGTCGCCCAGCATATGCAATCCCCACTGCACGGAAGTCACCTGCACAACGCTGGAGTTGCCAACGGTTTGTGTTTCTAAGTTCCACTTGGGAGTTAGATCTCATCTTTAATAATAATAGTTAAATCCTTGTTTCGTTCAAGTTTAAATGTGTATAAACTCTGAAATTCTATTTTTACAGATAGCTACAAAAGCTCACAAAATATATCACTTCAAATCCCTACATGTTATGTCTCCTGGGCATACAAACTACATTGATGGTAATGAACTACCAGAGTTTAAATCTTATGTTTCTTCTAAATAATGAACTCCTGTTTGTCAACCTGTATTTTCACTTTTTTCTATACTCCTGTGCAGTGTATTTAAAGAAAGAAATATGGAAAATAGTGAAAGACATAGAAAAGAGTGGTCTATCACCAACCTTCCCCCTTCCTCTCTTGTATATTGGAAATCTCCATCTATGTAGCCCAATTACATCTCTTCATTAGTCTGATTTGGTGTTACTCACTTTTAAAATATAGTTGTTTGCAAAGTCTGAAAATTATCTTGAAAAATGCAAATTTTTTAATGTGTACAATTCTATTTGTGCTAAATAAATTTAGACCTTTCTTATATTCAACATTATTGTTGGAATTCTGTCCTCAAAATCTTCCTTCAAAAACAGTTTTTCTGTGCATTTCCACTGAAAGTACCCTCACCGCTCCTCAGGCTGAGCTCAGTCATTCTGCACTTGGAAATCTTAGCCGATAGATTAAGAGAGGTTTAACCAAAATGTACATATGACTGAACAAATTTTCCCATCACAGTAAGAATGTTTATCAACCTTTATTAAAAATAGTAGTGTCTAAAATAGTGAACCTAAGGTAATGATGCTTTTACATGCACCATGATCTTTCAGCCAAAAAATATTTTCACATGAATGACAACTTGGTTAACAATACCTGTAGTGTATTCTTTTCTTTTAAAGTTATTTTAAGGAGAGTTTGTGATCTGATTTCATATTTGTATCAGTTGATAATTTGGGAAAATCGCTTTAACATTTGGGATTCACCTGATATGGAAGACTTGTAACTTCTCATTTAAGAGTTGCTGGTCTCTTTCCTTATGAACACAACATCATGCTGTAGAGTGAGAGTGAATGGTAGGGGTAAATCCGCCCCTCCACTCATCCACCCACTCATCCAGACATCTACCCACCCATCCACCTATCCATCTATCAATCCGTCCACCCATCTACCCACCTATCCAACCATCCATCTATTCCCCCATCCGCCCCTCCACTCATCCACCCACTCATCCACACACCTACCCACCCATCTACCTATCCATCTATCAATCCATCCACTCATCTACCCACCTATCCAACCATCCACCTATTCCCCCATCCACCCCTCCACTCATCCACCCACTCATCTACACACTTACCCACCCATCCACCTATCCATCTATCAATCCATCCACCCATCTGCGCACCTATCCAACCATCCATCTATTCCCCCATCCGCCCCTCCACTCATCCACCCACTCATCCACACATCTACCCACCCATCCACCTATCCATCTATCATTCCATCCACCCACCTACCCACCTATCCAACCATCCACCTATTCCCCCATCCACCCCTCCACTCATCCACCCACTTATCCACACACCTACCCTCCCATCCACCTATCCATCTATCAATCCATCCCCCCATCTACCCACCTATCCAACCATCCACCTATTCCCCCATCCGCCCCTCCACTCACCCACCCACCCACTCATCCATCTGTTGGTCCATCATCTTCCTATCTATTAATCTACCCATGGACCAAGCTCTTCAACTTTTTTTCAACACTGCAGAGGATTTTGCTTATTTTTTCATTTAAAAATATAACCTAAAAGAGAAATAGCAGAGAAGTGCTGAAGGTTAGAGAGCTAGAATCAGAATCAAAGTCTCTGAGCACAACCAGCCCATTTTTCATCAAGTCTAATAAAATAATTTGAGTACTTCTGCTTTCCTGAAATAAACAAAAATTTGATTTTCAACAAGCTACATGTTGATAATAAAGTTCATAAATCCTCTTCCACATTAAAAGGACACAATTTGAAATGGAGACACAATGGTCAGCTCTTAGCTATCTACATACCGAAGATTTATTTCCAAGACCCGTAAAAGAGCGGCACCCTTTGGCTCTTGCAAACACAGATGTCGATCATCACTACAGCCTGCCTGCTCATTGCTGGTTACACAGAACAATCTCCTCTGCTGTTTTTAGAATCTTGAGCTACTTCTGTTATTTTTTAAAAGAGTCAACAGCTATTTTACAGTTTTGTTTTTTAGGAACAATTTTCATTATATTTTACTCTCACGAACTTTTAAAAAATGATTTTGAAATGTTCCAGTCTGCCTATGGGCTGGCATCAAGAGTCAGCAAAGTCACAGACCTCCCACACTGTGAGATCAGACTAATGCTTTGTGTAATTAGCCAAGGGATACAAAATATTTACAAAAGAGACCTGACTTTGCAGACAGGCCCAGGTGCAGTCTACTTCCATCCAGCTTCTGGTGGTCACGAAATTTAGAGCAGAGACATGCAAAATTGCTGTTTCCCTCATCTGTGAGAGGCGGGGCCCAGCCAAATCTGAGCTCAATGTTTGTGGCAAAAATGACCGGGGGCCAGGAGCAGTGGCTCTAGCCTGTAATCCCAGCACTTTGGGAGGCCAAGGCGGGTGGATCACCTGAGGTCAGGAGTTCACGACCAGCCTGACCAACACAGTAAAACCCCATCTCTACTAAAAATACTAAAATTAGCTGGGCATGATGATGGGCACCTGTAGTCCCAGCTACTCAGGAGGCTGAGGCAGGAGAATCACTTGAACCAGGGAGGCAGAGGTTGCAGTGAGTTGAGATAGCGCCACTGCACTCCAGCCCGGGTGACAGAGTAAGACCCTGTCTCAAAAAAAAAAAAAAATCTCTAGATGTGCAGACCTTACTGAACCATTCAGGAAACAAATACACAATGCATTTGCTTGTATTTAGAGGAAAGCTTATAAACATAATGTTTTCTGTTTTCTTAAGCTGAGACTTGGGTAGGAACACAGTGGGAGGGAGCTGAGTCCACAGCCAGGAGAGCCTGAATCTACTGCTTGCGGCTTTCCAGAGTCCCAGGGAACTGTTTCCTCCAACTTAGCCTCTGGCTTCGAGTTGATGCCCTTTTCAATGAGGTATCCTGAGGAGCAAACCCATTCCTTCAACCTGAAGTGCCTCTCCTTGCTACTAAAATAGACTCAAGTAGATTGCAGTTTATAGCATTTTGTAGGTCTTATTTTAAAGCCCAGTTGACAATGGTTTTAGGAATTAAAACAGATGTGACTGTAGAATTTTGATCCTAAGCATCTACTGTTGGTCCTCCCAGTCTGATACAGCTCTGTCTGTAGACAGTCATCCCGGGTCTAGCCCTCACTTTGAATGACTTGGTTTTATAGATTAGTCCACAGTCTCAGATTTAATTAAGCATACATTTCAAATGAATAGACATACATTTAATGTACACACATACATGCCTTTAATGTTCAGATTTGGACCGGGTGTGGTGGCTCACACCTGTAATCTCAGCACTTTGGGAGGCCAAGGTGGGCAGATTGCTTGAGTCCAGGAGTTTGAGACCAACCAAGGCAATGTAGCAAAAACCCTGTCTCTACTAAAACTACAAAAAAGTAGCTGGGCATTGTGGCACATACCTGTAATCCCAGTTAATCAGGAAGCTGAGGTGGGAGAATCACCTGAGCCAGGGAGGTTGAGGCTGCAGTGAGCTGAGATCACACCATTGCACTCCAGCCTGGGTGAACAGAGCACAACCCCATCTCAAAAAAGGCAAAACAAAACAGAAAACACACAACCCCCCCCAAACACACAATGTTCAGATTTGGTGGAACATACATACATACAGGACATATGAGAAACCTCCAAGCTATGTGGAAATCCACACGTATACTGAGAAACTTTCAAACCAAAGAGGGCAAAGCAAGGGAGGCTGCGGCCTGTGGAGAGACCAGGCCAGGACTGCCAGGCTCCTGGGGCCTTGGAGGCACTCGGGAAGGGTGGGTTTCCTGAGCTTGCTCTCCAGAAAAGCTTTCCTCTTCCTCCCAGCCCAGGTGAAGCAAATCTCTCAAACAGGATGGCCTCAGGGTGAGCAGAGCCACTGGGCCGCAGGGGATCTTTCCTGGACTGTTGGGGGAACTGACAACCTCCTCACGGGCACGATGGGAGTCCCTTCTTTGAAAAGATCCCAGTGATTTGGTTTTTATATCTGATCTCTTTAGAAGCTCTTGCAGCAAAGACTATTTTATTAAACAAACTTTTAATGCTCTTTTCAAAGCCCAGGTTATTCCTTTAGTCTTGTGTGTGTGTAAGGAGTATCTTACCTTTCTCCTCTTCTTCATTTTCTCTTTTATTCCATACACTCTCTTTTTGCAAAGCGGTTTATATATGTCCTTATGCTTTCTGATGATTTTGGGAGGAAGATGAAAATATCCTCCATCAGAATCCAGAAGAGAAAAGGGAAGCAGAGAAGGCTCAGCTGTGGACACTCAGGTCCCCCCAGGGCTGAGGGGAGCTCTCATTCCTGGTCTTCCTCATTCCCCAATTTTTCTAGGCTTCTTGTTACCATGGTTACTCCTTGTCTGGTGGCATGAGGAGATGTCAGAGACCATTTTAGTGTCTATTTTGCCTCATTTTTTATCTTCATGAAGGATGGGTAAAGAAATACTGTCCCGAACTCAACAAAACCTTCTCAGGATCAGGGCTCCACCCTCAGACTTGGAATTCTGTGATGTTAACCCCTTCTGAGAGGTGATGAAATGTGTCCTTTTAAACTGTCTTCTGGAAAGAGATGTAGGAGGGACCGGAGAGACTATCTGCAGCAAGGCTTTTGCCAGAATAATGTTAACATTGAATGTGCACAGGAAGAGACCGGCATGAGTGAAACTGTGACGCAGCTGTCTACTTCCCGGCTGTAAGGTGAAAATGCACCTTCCCACAGGAGGCCCTCCCTGGCCCGGCCTGGACTCACCTCCCAGGCGGCGTCCTTCATGGAGGAGGAGCTGAAGTCTGCGGGGCGGGGGCTTTCATCCTTGTTTACGGGTCTTAATTCGTTCCTCAAGTGCACACTGTTCAAGGAAAGGATGTGTTGCCTCTGCAACCATGGTTTTCTCATTCAACGCCTACCCCAGGACACACCAAGGGAAGGACAGAGCCGAGACCCAGACAGGCTGGTGACAGCAGTGCAGACACATTTCCAGGTGGAGGGTTTGCAGCCTGCTCTAACTTAATGTTCCCGCTCCCACACTCCACTCCCAGTCTGAAATGCATTTCGAGGAGAACAAGTAAAACCTGCCCTCTTAGAGTTCAAAGTTTCCCGGAGACAGCTGAGGCCGATAGCTTATTGTTTAGGTAAGAACAACAGAACAGAGAGGCAGAGGGATTCCCGAGGTTTGCGGAGCGGATCGGTAAGGGTGAGCCCCGAACCTGTCTTCGCTCAGTTCCATAGTCGACAGCCTCCTTACCTACTGCAAGTGTCCAGAAAAACCCGTTTAGAGGACAAGAGGCTCCGGAAAGAAGCCTGCTCAGCTGCGGTTACTAGTCCTGTCATAAGTTATGTGTCTTGAGTGGACCATAAATTTGCACTAAAAAGACTCTCTTTCCTGTACAATCCATGCTTAGCCCTAATTGGCTGTAAAATTCATTCATACCCACCTTGTGTGTCACTCAATTAAAATAACTAGCAACACCACAGGACTCGAGGGCTGCTGGAAAAATGCAGGCACCCAGTGGGCTGGGCCTAAAGATGTACATTTTTCTCCCAGTGATAGCAGCTCTTGGGAAGGAATCGAGGAAAAACCGGTGACGTCTTGTTCTGAGCATCCACATATACACTGGAGGGGTTCTCAGCCTCCAGGCATTTCCGGCATCACAGGGCAGGACATCCTTCAGCTTATCAGAGTCTACCAGTGAGAAATAACACCAACCGTGCAGAGGAGCCGTGGACACCAGCATCCTCATCAGACTATAGTCCTCCCTCTGTCCCTTTCGTTGGTGTGGTCCTCCCAAGTTCTGTTTTAGCTCCTAACTTCTGTAAGCTAGCTCTTCCCGTTCAGTGATTAACGGAGATTCACCCTAAGTCTCCTGGCCATGTTTGCTTTCAGCGATTGTGTTTTTAAAAATGTAACTATAGACCAGCGTGGTGGCTCACGCCTGTAATCACAGCACTTTGGGAGGCCGAGGTGGGCGGATCACAAGGTCAGGAGATCGAGACCATCCTGGCTAACACGGTGAAACCCCGTCTCTACTAAAAAAAAATACAAAAAAATTAGCCGGGAGTGGTGGTGGGTGCCTGTAGTCCCAGCTACTTGGGAGGCTGAGGCAGGAGAATAGCATGAACCCGAGAAGCAGAGCTTGCAGTGAGCCAAGATGGTGCCACTGCACTCGAGCCTGGGCTACAGAATGAGACTCTGTCTCAAAAAAAAAAAAAAAATCGAACTATAGAAGTCTTCCTAGAAAATGGAAAATGACAAGAGAGTGTACTTTATCCTGGTGTGAAGTCCCTAAGATTTTAATGGAGTCCTAGAGACCCCATGTTATCGAGTGCTAGCGAAATGGCTGTGCTCTTAGCCAAGACAAAACGGACCGACTGGATCCCAAGCTATGTAGCTGGGTTAGCAAGAGGCTCAGATAGCGTCCTTCACTGACTGCCTGCAGAATGATGTGATTTTTTAGCAACCAGGTGTCAGAAATCATGGGGGATTCTTACACAAGCGGTGGGTGTGTCCCCTCTCACCCCAGCCCTGGGGTCGCCCAGAGCGGGGAAGCAGGGAGCATTTCCACCTGGGTCTTTCCTCTCTTATTAGGTTTTCAACAGCGTCATCAGCTCTTGGGAGGGGGGAAGAGAGAGCGTGTCCATTTTAGGTCCTTCCAGAAAGACCTGAGTGGCGCTATCGTGCTTCGGCAATGTGTTTCTTTTGACACTTCCTTGCTGTGCCCTGCAAACCTTGAGTGTGTTTTCGGAGATGATTCTTTAGAGACCTTGTCTCTAAAAAAGAGAGAGAAATGAAACCATCCAAGTTCATAATGCTGTGTTGAAGAGAAAATCACGAGGTGCTGTACGGGTGTGTAACAAGTTCTAATCTGTACTGGGATGTCTGAGAAAATGCCATTTAAACAGACACCTGGAGGGAGGGTGGACGGCTGGCCCAGGGGGTCCCAGTAGCTGAAAGCAGTGTAACTACAGGCCTTAAGGAAGGGGCATGGCACACCCAAAAAGCACAACACCCCCACTTTAGGATGGCAACACCACTGCTCCGGGACTTGGCATTTCTGTGACTAAACTCCGGCTCAGCAGAATGCAGTGGAAGGGGTTGAATTTGGAGATGTGGTCTGGGCACAGTGAGGCCTCATGCGCCTGAGAGCAGACTGCAGAGGGCCATGCTTGTGGGAAGTGAGGCAGGCCCCAGGGCACTAGGGGACATGGTCAGCCTTGTCTGCTCCGCCCCCGCGACACTCCCCCTTGAGGAGGAATGGCCGTCAGTGAGAACCGGCTCCTAGTCCTGGTACAGAAATTAACCACGTATGCCGTCTGGGGCCAGGGAAAATCTAACAAAAGCTTACACAGTTCCCTGCACCATGCTAAGTACCTCCTACACAGGATCCTATTTAATTTTCACAACCACTTAGACGAGGCGGTTACTTTTACCATCCCTATTCCCTATTTTCTATAGGAAAGCTGGGTCTGGAGAGCCTGAGACCTCCGGTCTTGTGAGCCCTCCCATTCAGCATGAAGCAGGGCCGGGTCTGGAAGCCAAGTCCACCTCGAACCCCATGCTCTTGGCCAGATGGTTCTTGAGGTCCCTTTTGGCTTGTTTTGGTTCAATTCCAAATTAGAGCCCGCCCCGCTGGTGTCTCTCTTGGTGAGAGTTATTTCAGTGCTGTGGGTGTTTTTCAGGCAGCCTGGTAAAGTGACCTATGTCTGTCTTCCTGGTTCTCCATCCAAACCTAAACAAGGGGACGGAGGTCTCTCCTAAAGATTGGCAGGAAAGCAAAACTCCTCAGAGAGGCCTGAACTCAAAAGTGCTATTCTTTTTAAACAAAGGTTGGACAAACTCACAGTGCACATTTAAAAAGGTTAAATCTGATATAGCCGGAGCAATATTTGTTTAACTACACTAAGTGAAAGATGATTTGGCTGAGGGACCAGGGAGAGACCTTTTATTTGATCTGATTTTACATAAACATTTCTGCACACAGAGGCTCCTGGACCTTATCATAACCATCATTGGATGTCCGCTCAGGGGATCCTTCATCTTCTCTCCAAATGTCATTTCTTAGATGCTGACTCCAGAGCCCCTGGTGATAACTCAAGTTTATTCCTTATCAGATGCACCCAGCTGTAGACACAATACCTGGAGACTGGCTTAGGTAGATTTTTTTTTTTCTCCAACAAAAGTTTGCAGACGGAAAGACGTGTATGAAAATGCTCTGCAGTGGAGGGGCTATCGAGAGATGATTTTTAATCGTCTAAAGCGAAGAGCAGCACTTGGAAGAAGGCGTCTCTCTTGCACATTTCCCTTTGCACTGGCTGCATGGGAAGCCACAGGACTAGTGATGTCGAGAAACTCACCTTCAGCAAGTGTGAAACTCGTATGTGCTCTAAGGGACCTGAGGAAATGAACATTTCTTCAAATAAACCATAACTCAACGGATCAGAATGATCCATTAGCCTGATTTTTGCCTGCTTGTTGCATATTTAGGAAGCAGAGCTCAACCTCAGGGAAAACAGGTCGTGTTAGGGGCTGCTGTAAGAAATCATGTCGAATGTATTTCCCCAGGTTGGTGTTTATGGTGTAGACTCCCGCTCCACATGTAATTTAAAGGTTGATGAGATTTATATTGGGAATGACAAGGCAAGGTACTGGATCATCTGAAATCATTAAAGGGATGTTGGTGTGGGCTCACTGACTTCTGTTTATGGAGACAAGGAATAAGGAAACAAGCTCATATTTTATATAAAGAATTTCACAAGCCAATGGGAACAATTCAGTAATGCTTCTTTAGCCAAGGCGCTATGACTTGAATACCCGGCTCTATTAAGCTTATAAGAAATCAAAGTTCAGGAGAGAAGTTAGAGCTTTGCTGCACCACACAACTCTGGAAGCTCCTGGAATATTTTCTTAGAAGAAGGAGAAGGAAGAGGAGGAAGAGGCAAAGCAAAACTAAAGTACAGTCGGTAGCCTTTGCAGTGCAGGAGCCCACAGTTGTGATGTGCAGATCTGGCTTCTCCAGGGGCGGGGCTCAGGCACTTATGAATGAATTGGCTTAGAAGCCTCTACTGTGAGGTTCTGGGTCTGTTTATCAAACCCATGCCGGAAACGTCGGAGTTGTTAATAGCTTTGGAGTGAGACATACCAGGGTTCAAACCTTAATTACATCAGCTGCTAGCTGGGTAACCTTGGCAAGTTACCTAAACTAAGCTGGGTAACCTTGGCAAGTTGTCTAAATGAAGCTGACCTCTGTCAACCTAAATAACAAAGAAGGAAACTATCTAAAGGACAATGGTGTTTATTCGGGCGTAGGCATTAAGATGGGCATGTGTGTGCCATGGTAAACTAATTGCTTATCCAGAGAAGTAAAAAGAGATAATTTTTTTTAAGAAAATGAGGATTGCAGAATTGTTTTGAGATAATTATCCTGGGCCACAAGGATCAATAACAAGGGTGATGCCTGTCTGAGGCTGGACAGGCAGTTGCTGGCAGATGTCCTGGCAGAAGTGGTTTTTTGTGAAAAGTTGCAATGCCTCACTCATGAGAGCCCTCCCTCCATGGCCTTCCCCAGCGTGTCAGGGTTTTAACACAGGGAACTCCATTTGGATTCTGAAAATTTTCCCTCATGAGGTTGCATGAGGACTAAACGCAACAGTGGGTATGAAGGGCTTGGCATAGTACCTGGCTCGTGTGAATTACTGGTTAGAGAAGAGATGTAGGAAGTCAAATAGGGTAAGTAAAAGAGGACTTGTTGAAGACTACTGGATTCTTTGTAGTATGAATTCTTCTTTCTCCAACTTTGTAGCTTGGGACTTCTGTCTTGGCAAGTACAACACTTTGCAATCCTCCTCACAGCTAGGAAGGGCACAGGACTAAATTCTGACCAATGGACAGGACTGCCTTAAAGGAGAGCGTAAAAGCTGCCCCCTGCTCGTCCTCCTGGCTGCTGTGCGGAAGTGCTGGCTGGCACCTGGGCAGCCATTTTTTACCATGAGGCAGAGCAGTGAGTGAGATGAAATGAAGGAGTCTGGGACCCTGATGCCCGGGAAGCCATCACCCCAGCCCAGCCCTACCACCTCCAGTCTCGTAGCTGTGTGGGGGAGATACCCTTCAATCTCCTATAAGTCATGGATTTTTCCTGTTTGTTACATTCAACCCAGCAAAATTCTAGCTGATATTCAAGATCCCCGAATTAGGTAGTTCAGCTGAGCTCAGGAACTGGAAGAGCTGACGTAAGTGGTGAGGTGGAGGTGGCCTCAGGAAGAGGTGGAGCTGATGATGGACACCCTAGGAGAGGAGACACTGTGAGTTTCTCTTCCTGTCCAGATGAACTCACTCCTGATGCACTGGCCATCTTGTTTTCTGAAAACTTCTTTCTCTTTGGTCCTATTTTAGACTCAGAGCAGTTTGGGAGGCAACTGGTTTTATTTGCACAGTTATCACCTGTTCCAATGAAGAAGAAACACAAAGATGTGCTTCTGTGATTTGAAAGTTTATCCAGGATTCAGGCTTTTTAGGAGTCTATGAGGGTATTGCTTGGCTGAAATTCTCCACATTGCCACTGGTTACTTATTATCGTTTCATCCACATCAGTGCTTCTCAAACTGCTGAGCATTAGTGTCACCTGGGGAGCTTTAAAACATTCTGAAGCCCAGCCCATACCCCAGACCGGTTAGATCACAAGTGGAGAAGCTGGGGCCCCAGCATTGGCAGTTGTTAAAGCTCCCTGGGTGGACCCACCGTGCGGAAGGTGGGAGAAGCAGCAAACGCAATTCTTAGTCTCTAAGTGTGGTCCCCAGGCCGGCAGCAGTGAGAGTTTGTTGGAAACACAGACTCTCAGGAGCTACTGAATCGGAATGTTGTGTCTTCCACAAGCTCCCAGGCCGTGTGCTTCGGTGCCAGGAAGATCAGGCTGCAGGGGGCGTTGCGCTGGTTCCTGGTGAGTGCCATGCCCTTCACGGACTCCCCTAACTCCCCACCTGCCAGCGTTTCTTTCTGTTTGTCTTTCAGGTTGGTTCCTTCACCACATGGATGTTGCTTGGTCCTGCTGGCCATTTAATTCTGCTGCCTTTCAGGGAGCAGAGTGCGACTTTTGCCTTCCTTTTGCCACTTGCCAATCATTTTTTCTTCTTCTCCTTCCTGTTTTGCAAATTGTGGCCACCACACACGACCCAGAAATGACTCCTGGGCAGTGCCACCGCCTCCTCCTGACCCACTCATCTAACAGCTTCCTCTGGCTGCTGGTATTGTTAGGAACAGCCACCCTGGGCCTCCAGCAGGGCCCTCACAAAGTGTTCTGTTTAGGGAATCACTGAACAACAACAGGATATCGTCCTGGCCTTTCTCAGAACCTTCTCTTTGTTTCGTGTTTCAGCCCTTCCTCTACAAACCTGTTCCCAGCAGAGCCAACCCGTAAAGTCAAGTTCTCCACAAAAAGGCAGAGTCAGTTTTCTGATGGAATGTAATTGAAACAGACCTAAGTTAATGACATACAGCATATTTCTTTCGGGCTGTGTTGATACCAGCAGCAATTCCCTGAGCAGAAGGAAGTTCCTACCTGCCACCACAGCCTGCTGCTTGCCGGCCACACGGCTGGCACCATCCCCTCCGCAGGGTCATTCGCAGCTGCCCGTGGTCACACACTCAGCAAAGTCCTGAAAGCCTCAGCGCACTGGGGTCAGCTGGCCATGGGGGTGTGTGGGAGGTGCCACAGCAAGCCCCTCCTGACCCTAGGCGTCCCTCCTTCTGACAGCAGAGGAAAGGAGAGCCTTGGGCTGGTTTCAGGGCTGGGTGCAGCCTGGGCTACACATATTTTTGAGAGGAGATTTGGGGGCACAGCTGGGGACTCCTTAAGCCACCATCTCTCTCCTTTGTGAGCCTGAGTACATGGAAGACCCTACCGACTACAGCTCACCTTTCGGATTAGGGGTTATTTACTTCCAGGTCATTATTTTTAAACTTTTCAAATTAGAATATAATACTTGGTATAGATTTCAAAAATCAAACTTCATAGAATTAAAAGTGAAAAGTCATCATCCATTTCATTCCGTTTCTTGATTTTTTTTTTTTGGTCCCAGTGTAACCATCGCAAGTATTCATTCATGCACTCAACAGTATTTATCAAATTCCTACTGCATGCCATGAACAGCTGTCATTACTGGGGCTGCGGTGAACAAAGAAGTGCCCCTGTGACTCATACCTGAGGGGTGGCAGTGGGGGTGGCCATTGAAGGTAGGCCAGCAAGTCCATGAACATTTCAGGGGTGACAATGTGGGAGGGGTAGCAAATGAAGGGTCAGATGGTCAGACGAGGGCTGCTGCAGAGACGGTAGACCAGATGGCTTCTGAGTTGCCACTGGACACTGTGAGTTGACCTGTGTCCCCATGGAAACACTCATTGCATTCTGTGTGTTTATCTGAGTATAAAGATGCACTTGTCCACCAAGAGATGAATGGATAAACAAAATGTGGTCTATCCATACTATACAATATTATGCAGCCTTAAAGAGGAAGGAAATTCTGGCACATGCTGCCACACGGACGACCTTGGGGACATTTTGCTAAGAGAAACAAGCCAGTCTCAGAAGTGCACTGACTTATGGTTCTAGTTAGAGGAGGTGCTTAGGGCAGTCAAAATCACAGAGACAGAAAGTAGAATGAATGGTGTTGCCAGGGGGAGGGAATGGAGGAATGGGGAGTTTTATTTAGTGGACACAGGGTTTCAGTTTGGGAAGATGCAGAGTTCTGTGGAGGGATGGTAGTCACGGTCGCACAATGTGAATGGATGTCATACCTCTGAATTGTCCACTTAAAAATGGTTAACTTAGCACATCTTATGAAGTACATATTTTACCACAGTAAAAAATTATCAATAAAATATATCTTGAACACTTTTCTCTATTCATACTTTTAATTTAATTTTAATTTTATTTAATTTACTTTTATTTTTCAGACAGGGACTCATTCTTTCACCCAGGATGAAGTGCGGTGGCAGGACCATAGCTCACTGCAGCCTCAATCAACTCCCGGAGCTCAAGCAATCCTCCCACCTCAGCCTCCCAAGTAGCTGGGACCACAGGCATGTGGCACCACACCCAGCTAATATTTTGTATTTTTTGTAGAGATGGAGGCAGCGGGGTGGGTGGGTCTCGCCAGTTGCCCAGGCTGGTTACGAACTCCTGAACTCAAGCAATCTGCCTGTCTTGGTCTCCCAAAGTGCTGAGATTACCGATGTGAGCCACTGTGTCTGGCCACAAGTATTATTACTAATATACCATAATTATTTATGTCTGTATTTCTTTATATCACAGGACTAACACATGTGTATGGGATAATCTTTTAAACCTGATGCTTTTCTGCCCCTCTGTATCTCCTGATTTTTCTCAGTTATGTGACTGTGTTTAAACTTCCAACACTTATATCATTTAGAAGTTTCTCTGATGAAAAGCCTCCCATGATTCCTAGTCTCATGCCCTGGAAAAAACACTTTTAACAATTTCTGTGTCTGCTTCTCGATTGCCCAGCCTTACTTGGTGTCTGCTGATGCTCGTTTAGAAGAATTAATAATCCAGTAGACTTACCTACCAGGTGCTAAGCAAACCTCTTGTTCTTTTGTTGTTGTTGTATAGATGAAGGCTTCCTATGTTGCCCAGGCTGGTCTCAAACGTCTGGCCTCCCGTCCTTATGCGCCAGGACAACAGGACTGAGCCACCGCACCATCCAAGTCTCTTGCTTTTTAATAGCTTTCTTATTTTTCTTTTATTCATCCAGGGGTTACTTTGTGAATTTAAATAATTCACTTAAAATAACATTTTGAAATTTATCAACTTTATCTACTGTTGTATGAGATATGAGGAACTTAGCAAATGGACTCATTCTTCATTTTCTTCTTCCTCTCTCTCCTGATTTTTCCAAGTTATGTTATTATTTTTAAATTTCCAAAGCTTGTGTCATTTAGATTGTTCTATAAATATAATTAAGCAATCAGTGGTTGTCTAAGTGTGGTTTCTTCTTAAAATGTATACTCAATAAATACATTTCCAGTATCATGAATATATAAATACTTTTCACTCTAGGAAAAATAATAAAAAAAAGGTCTTGATGTCCTAAGCCATTAGGTTCTAAAATGTGTCTTTTTGTTCATGTATATTGTTATAAAAGTGAATAAATGGGATTTTTGATACCATGTATATGTGGAGAGTGTAGTGGAAATGCTTTTGGTTGTGGTGGTGGTGGTGGTGGTGGGGTGGACAGGAAAGATGGCCTCATTTATCTGCATAAAAGCTGATCAGTTAAAAGTTCCTGAAAAGAGAGCCTGAGTCCTGTGGGTGACACTGAAGTCTCCTCCACTTTCCTCTGCGGCTCTCAGGCCTCCCTCCCTTGGCCTCCTTGGCCTCCCTCTCCGGGCGGGTGGTCCACTCACGTAACTGCTCTCTTTACTTCTGTTCAATCTCTTTTATCTCAATAACACTCTGTGCCTGCATGCCACCTGGCTGATCTTGAGATCCTGTGACTCGAAGGCTTTCCTTCCCTTATTTAAGGTGAGGGCTTAAACTTTGGATCCTGACGTTTTGTAAAAGTAGAAACATTTTTGTTGTATTAAAATATACTTCAAGGCCAGGCATGGTGGCTCACGCCTGTAATCCCGGCACTTTGGTAGGCCAAAGCAGGCAGATTGCCTGAGCTCAGGATTTGCGACCAGCCTGGGCAACACGGCGAAACCATGTCTCTACTAAAATACAAAAAATTAGCCGGTCATGGCAGTGTGCGCCTGTAGTCCCAGCTACTCAGGAGGCTAGGAAAGGAGAATTGCTTGAACCCGGGAGGAGGAGGTTGCAGTGAGCTGAGATCGTGCCACTGCACTCCAGCCTGGGCGACAGAGTGAGATTCTGTTTCAAAAAATAAAATGAAACATATATACTTCAAAGGCAATTTGGTAAGGTGGGGTAATAGATTTCCGGTCCAAATTCCTGAGCTGGGTGTTATTTCTCAGGACAGATTGGTATTCCTGAATTACCCGTCAGTTCATGTCACCTCACATCCCTGATAACCGGGTTGCCTTTTGTCTTGGCCTGATCGGGGACACTGGGCTTCAGACAGACCCAAGCTTCTCGTCAGGTTGGGACAGGACCATGCCACAGTCATTCCTTACCCTCCATATTCAACAGGTCTAAGTGGGGGAATAGTGCAAGTGAGTGCAGATGCAAAGTCAGCAATTCCATTCCGTCTGCACTGACTTAATGCTCAGAGGCCTGGGGTCATGGGAGAGCTCCTGATGTGAAATGGGTCAAGACCCATGCCCTGCATTCTGCCCAGTGCCTGGCATGTAGTAGGCAGGAAACGTGTGTGTGGAAGGAATGAATTAATCTGGTCTAAGTTGCAAAAGCACTAAAAATAAACACACATGTGTTCTGGTATCAGAATACACGCATAGGAGCTTCCTAGATAAATGCAGAGGTACACAGTCCCAGTCCATTTCAGCTGCTGTAACAATGTCCCACAAACTGCCTGGCTGGAAAACAACAGACACCCGTGTCTCAGGGTCCTGGAGGCTGGAAGTCCAAGTGTGCAGGCAGGATCAGGGTCTTGCGAGGATCTACTTCCTGGTTCATAGATGGCACCTTCCTGCTGTGTCCACAGGGTGGAAAGGGAGAGGGAGCTCTCTTGAGGCTCTTTCATAAAGACGCTGATCTCTTTAATAGGGCTCTACCTTGAGACCTAGATGAACCCTTCCAAAAAACCCCACCTCCTAACACCATCACAGTGGGGTTACGATTTCAATACATGAATTTTAGAGGGACACAAATAATCTATGGCATGGACCATGAAATATTATCACCCTAAATGTGACCTACTGAATACACCCATTGTTGGTCTGTCACTGTCTATTAATTTTTTTTTGAGACAGTTTCTTACTCTGTCACCAGGCTGGAGTTCAGTGGAGTGATCTTAGCTCACTGCAACCTCCGCCTCCTGGATTCAATTGATTCTCCTGTCTCAGCCTCCTGAGTAGCTGGGATTACAGGTGTGTGCCACCACACCTGGCTAATTTTTGTATTTTTAGTAGAGACAGGGTTTCACCATGTTGGCCAGGCTGGTCTCAAACTCCTGACCTCAGGTGATCCACCCACCTCGGCCTCCCAAAGTGCTGGGATTATAGGCATGAGCCACTGTGCCCAGCAAATCTCTTGTTAATTGATCCCTACACATTATTAAGTGGAGTCCAGGCTGCTCTAGGTCTACTCTGTCCTTCAAGTACTCGCTGGTGCCTTCCTGGAGTTACTGCTCATTGGGACTAGAACTCAGGTGAGCGTTGAAATCCTTGGACTCGTGAGTTCTGCTATGAAATCTTTTATTCTCAAGGGGGCTACTGTTAAGCATTCCTATGACGATAATCTTCCGCTGTTGCACGGGCCCATTTGGAGACCTCATGAACAGTTCTGACTCAGACACAAGGACATTGGCCTTACGGGGGTCAAATGGTTCACCAGTTTACAAGATGAGTAGACTCAGTTCGACGTCGAGATCAGCTCAGCTCATGAAGAATTTGTCAAGCTTCCTGTCGATTTGCATCACTTCATGGATAACCTGGTCTATTGGGACTGCTGTTATCCAAGATAGTTTTTAAAAAATTGAATCAATGGGAAAGTCAGTGTTTTTACATACATGTGATCTTCTTCAAAAAAGAGCAATGTGCTAGGCAAAGCAGGCTAATGTGTTTGTTGGCAGAAAGAGTTAGAAGGTAGAATAAAACTGAGAAAAATGTCTTGACAGCTGGGTCTTCAGGTCGGAAGCCGTATTTGAGCACAGCTGCATATCTCGACACAATGCTAGGTTTTGGCCGGCCTCTTCGAACTAGGCTTGATTTGAAAGTCCTAACCCTGTAATGTGGTGAAATCTTCAGCTCTGCTGCCTTCTGTGTCTGCAAAGGAATGAGGTGCCCAGGCTCACTCCAGCATTGAAAATCTGCGGGGATGGTCATTGGGTCAGGAGCCACGCACAGCCGCAATTAGATAAAATAATTTGCATTTCAACTGCAGGAAGTGGAATACTGCCATTCATCAGAGAACGGTTTTTATTTATTTGGGGTTTCAGGGATTATTCATGAGGGTACTCTGGGAGTGCTTTCAACAGTGAAAAATTACATAGGATATTGAAATAGCATGGGGAAAATGAATGCTGTTTTATCACAGGTTTGCCTGTTTGCTAGTAATAAAAACAATTTTGACTAATTCAAAGCTGGCCTTATTCTCAGAATCTCAGTTTTTATTTACTGTTTGAAGCAGTAACATTCAACCTGGGTTCAAAATGAGAATTGATACACACGACTTTATTATATGCTAAAATATTATTAAGCTGACATTGGCTTACTCAAAAGACTGTATAATTTGATCCAATGGTTACTTTCTAGCTGAATATATACCATTTTATTCCTCAATTAGAACACTGAAAATTTGAAATGTCTTTCATTCAGAGACCACCTCCTCCCTCCACTTTAAGTCAGAAGGATTTTGCTGCCATGGTGCAAGCCCCGGGCTCTGACAGAAGGATTTGTTTTCAGAACTATTTTTTATTTGGGAACTCTGTGTGGCCTGATTAAGAAATTTAAACGTTACTTACTGAGTTCACCTCTGAAGGGAAACATCTCATTTTAATGAGGCTCTCTGGAGGCGTGAGGGTCATATTGCCCAACTTTGGATTTTATTTTATGCTTCATGCTAAAAATAGCACATTATCTTTTCATGTATCCATGGCAATCACAGTGCAATGCCCTTTAAAAATGACAAAGCGTCATTAGGTGACCGAGAGCAAAGCCCGCGTTTCTTCCTCATAGCCTGGCCTGTGATTCCATGAGAGGCATGACTGCTGCAGATGAGTCCCTTCTCCCGGATTCCCCTTGCCTGCCTGTTGCTTTCCCCTTTACCTTCTCCACTTTCCAGCACAACCTTGGAAAGAAAGGACCCCACAGTCTTCATTGCTAGGAACCAGCAAGCGAGTGTTCACGGAAATGCGGTCAATTAGGCTGGTAGGAGGGGTAAAAATGACGGGTCTTTCATGCGCATGAAAGCAGGGATTTAGAGCGCATTGCACGGTGTTCCCAGGCTCCGGAGTACAGTTCCGATCTGTATGGATTTAAATATTCAAGGCTGAATAAGGATGGAGGTTTCACTGAATAATGAGCCAGCTCACTGTAAACCCAGCAGAGTTTTCATCCAGCCATGTAATGCTCTCCCACGCTGGCTTTCAAAGTTCCATCATCTACTCGAAGAAGAGAGGAAGGAGAAGACCTAGCAAAACCCCAAGGTATTTAGATTAGCCAAAGGGAGCATCACTTTGCTTAAGTGGAGTGAATTGTTTTCCTCTAGTCATTCTTTCACGTGTAGGTGACTGTTCTCACTGCTAATGATTATGCAGCTATGGAGATTTCAGCGAGGAGCCCATCCACCAAGCCTGGCTGGCATTTGAGTTATGATGGAAATCTGGTGATTTTCTGTTGCAGTCATTTGTTGTTACAACGCACACAGATTTCACTCATCGCCAAGTGATTTCATGAACAGGAATGGAAACATCGTTGGCCCTTATCACAGAGAGGTCCTGGTGGGCAGGGACGTGACCTGCGGCTGTGCCAAGTGCAGTGTTTGCTGGAAGGTTTCCTTGCTGCACTGTAGCCACTCTGCTTATGAGCATCCAGGGACAGGCTGCAGACAGAAAGGGGGAGAGAAGGGTACAAGCTAGAAAGGACCACTTGGTGGGAGAGCTAACAACAGATAAGAGGCCACAACCCATCGGACGGATTACCCTATTATTATCGACATGGCCTCCTCCTACTCTATCGCCTGTGATGATAGCGAAGGGGCTGACAGCCCGTATTCCTCGTTGTTTTACTATCTTAGCAGAAGCATACTGCTTGCACAATTTCTGTTCTCTTCACATTCACACCTTAAGAATTAGATAATAGGATGAGAGGGAATGAAAGTGAAGTCTTTTGAATTATTAAAGGATGCTCTCAGCCTAATACAGGTATGCTATCTAAAGAACAGCCACAAGTAAAATATTTGCTTGTAATACATTCCTTTTTAAAAGAATTGCTGTTAAAAATAGGCATGGGAGGCACAACTCACTTAAATAATACTAATTTTAAGAAATTGTCATAAAATAAAACAATTCCCTAAGCCTACTCTCTACTTACATTTTGATCAACTAGACCTACTCTTCTCTCCCTCTCTCATTTCTCTCTCTTCCTCACACACGTGCATGCGCGCACACAGGCAGAAACACGCACAATCCTAGTGCCCGAGAAAATCCAATTATTACTTCAAGCTAAACTGAAGTTATTTAAAACAGATAAAAGCTTTTCTTTGGCATGACGCTATTATAAAAGCTTTTGTTTCCAGGTGGCCTTTGGGGGTGATCACAGTGTGATAAGAATCTTTTGGTACTCCACTGATTTCAGTCTCTTTTGTTAGAGTTGCGGAACTTGAACAAACTTTTTCCTCCTATTGTATACCACAGTGGGTTTCCTGCATATTCAACTCTGGGGATTTCTCAGGCATGCCTATGTTCTCTTCCTTGATTCTTTGACACCTGAGGACTCTGCAGTTTTAAAGAAAGAAGATGCAACTTTCCTACAGATAAGTCCATGAAAAACTGTTCTTTCCTTCGTCCATGTTCTTTAAAAATATAATTTATCTCCTAAATTCCCCTTTGAATCAGTCTTTTATGAAATACATTTTAGGGGAATACTATTGTGTTACATTTTCAATAAAAACACTTGGCCCTATCACATGCCTTTTATGTCCAATGAACACAAAGAACAAAATTTCAGAGTGAATAAATGATATGGATGAACCACGGATTACCACTAAATCCATAACATTATTTCACTCGCTTTATGAATCTCTAAGCACAAAAGTAGCCCCACAGGCAAAAATAACACTATTTAGAACATGCTACGTTTCTGAGGCACTTAATGTTTGCCAGTGATCTTTTTATTGCTCTTGTTTTATCTTGATAGTACCAGGACCAGCAAACTGTGAACCCAAAAGTCTCAATCAATTTAGAAAGTTTATTTTTGCCAAGATTAAGGATGTGTCCACGACAGCCTCAGGAGGTCCTGATGACATGTGCTCAGGGTGGTCGGGGCACAGCTTGGTTTTGTAACTTTTAGAGAGACATGAGATCCATTGATATGTGTAAGATGTACACACTGGTTCGGTCCAGAAAGGCAGGACCACTTGAAGCCAGGAGGGGACTTCCACGTCAGAAATAGATAAGAGACAAAAGGTTGAATTTTGAGTCTCTGATGAGCCTTTCACTGAACACACAATTTACATGTGAGAGGCGGGCAGAGGAACAGTCACTGATGCCTTAGTCTGGCTCAGTGAATCAATAGGCAGAGGAAGCGATCATGTATGAATTTGTCTCAGGTGCACAGAGGGATGACTTTGAGTTCTGTCTGTCCTTTGTCCACAGGGAATTTCCTGTGGGCAAATTGTGTGGGAGGCATGTAGCTTCTTACCTTTGTAGCATGTTATTTAGGAAAAAAATGGGAGGCAGTTTTGCCTGACGCAGTTCCCAGCTTGACTTCCCTTTGGCATAGTGACTTTGGAGTCCCTAGATTTATTTTATTTTATTTTTTTCACAGAACATAGTTTAGGACATTGTTAGCCTAATTCACAGAGAAAGAAATGAAAACCCCAAGAGGCTGCTTGACATCACAGCATGAGTCCAGGGCAGCTCCAGAAAGAAGGAGCAGGGGAAACGAGGAGAGGATGGGGTGTGGGTGGCAAAAAGAGCAGGTGCCGCAGGCAACAAGGCGATGGCGCCAGTGACGGAGGAGTGAGCGATGCCGACATAAAAAGGCGCATGACGATGAAGAGCCAGCGTCATGGCCTCCACCTGCACCTGTGTATGTTATTCAATCACAGTAGACTCAGGATTCCCACCCTAAGCATTGTCTTCACTGAGGGCTGGGAAGAACTTAGGAAGGCCTGTGGCACTTCCCACGCCCCTGGAAGGGACACCTGTATCCACATCTTACTCCCTGTCTTATTCCCTCCCTGTGCTGGGCCGCAGAGCCCCGCAGAGCTGGCTTTGCCTAGCACCAATCATCCACACTGCGCTCTGAAGCCACCGCAACCAGCCAGCCCACCTTGCATCCTTGTTACCAGGGTCTCCGTGCCACATCCCATACCTCGCCAGTGATCTGAACCCGGTACGGTTCTGCTCAGCCCCAACTCTGACCCAAACTCCCTCCTGGAAGACGTTCCCTGGGCCACATGACATTTTCGGCCGTTTTCAGCACTCCTTCTCCCATAGCCTCACCCTTGTTGATTGGGGTCGAACATTGGCGTTGAATGTAAAAGAGTGGCGGGATTAGGAGGGGAGCCTCTATGAAGAGAGATAGAGGGTTGAAAGTTCTCTCACCATGTTTCAAACACTTGACCTTTAATTCAGCAGCAAAGGAGAGTGAGAGGGAGCAGCAAGTAAAGTGGGAGGAGCACGGGGCGAGGAGTGGAGCCCCAGGAGCTGGGTGAGGAATGTGATGGGGTGGGGGTGACCAGGTGTATCCCACGGTGCTGAGAGTCAGGGGAGGGGAGGACTCCACATTCACTGTTGGTTTAGGCAAACAGATGCCCTGGGAAGTCTGGCACAAGCTGTCCCCAAGGACTAGCAGAGGTGAAATCAACCAGAGTGGCTTCAAAAGAAATCGGAGGAAAGAGACAGAAACAGCAAGCCTGGGCAGCTTTGGGGTTGTCGATTAATTAGCGTAAGTCACGGCAGCTTCTCTCACAAGGAAGCCAACATCTCTGTGGCTAAACACTAGATTTTATTTTTCGCTCAAGTTGATCAAGTCTAATGGGGTGGGAATTTGAGGGGGGAGGTGAGAAATCCCTGTTCCACAGAGTCTTGTAAGGACAGCTTCCTTCAAATCCCAGCATCTCTAAGGTCCTCTCCACGTGGCTGACACACAGGGACATGCTCTGCTGGTGCTGGCATTTCATGGGCCGGGGAGGAGTTGGGTCACTCCCAGGAGTGTTTCATTACCAGCACTCAGTCACATGGCCGGCCGTAACCGCAAGTGATGTCTAGAAATGTGTCACTAACTTGGAGGGACAGTGATGGACAACTTCATGTCAACTCGACTAGGCTAAGGGGTGCCCAGGTTGCTGGTAAGACATTATTTGTGGGTATGTCTGTGGGGAAGTTCCTGAAAGAGACCAGCATTTTAATTGGCGAACTGAGTAAAGCAGGTGGCCTTCCCCAGGGTGGGTGGGCTTCACCCAATCTGTGGGGGGCCTGAGCAGGACAGAAAGGCCAAGGAATGGAGACTACTCTCTCTGTGTGTCTGACACACAAAGCTGAGATATGGCTCTTCTGCCTGTGAGCTGGGATCCTGCTGGCAGATCATCTGGGCCTCTCACGGTGGATGGTAGATTTTGAGGCCTCTCATGGTGGACAGTAGATTGTGGGGATTTTCAGCCTCTGTAGTCACATGGGCCGATTCCTTAAGGTAAATCTCACCCTAGATAAAGGTATGGCTCCCACCAGTTCTGTTTCTCTGAGAGCCCTGACTCTACACACGGTCAAGAGGCTTGGTAGACATCCAGACCATGCCTGCCCTGGGAGAACGGAGTTACTAGCTGGTGGGGAACGCGGTGTAGACAGGGTGACTTTATATAAAATTGGAACATGATAGATGGGTTTTGATGCTGATAGGAACGATTCAGCTGAGGGATGCCTGTGGGTCATGAGGCCCCCAGTTGACTGAAAGGGGGAAATTTAATGGTAGGCGGGGAGAGAGAGCTGCTGCAGACATGTGCTTGAATTAGTGAGGGGGACGGGACCCAGGGCATGAAGCCCCACAGCAGTGGCTCGGGCAATAGCGTCGTGGGTTTATCTCTGGCAAGAGGAGAACAGGTGGAAGCAAGTCCTAGTTGGGTCCTGATGGGGCCAGTGAAGGCTCTCTTCTCATGGGTCTCGGTCATCCCTGATCAGGATGAGGGAAGTGAGGGACATGGAGTTACCAGGGGAATGGGCTGGCGATGAAATTGGGCTGAGAAGGAAGAGGAACTGCCACCAACTTCTCCCACAGTGACGCCACTTGGTTTTTGAATGGATGCCACCTTTTATAGGACGCAGCTTTCTCAGTATTTGCTCCCTCAACCACGTCCCGACTCCAACCCTCCACATTTATGTCAATAGCATCATTGTTCACATTTTTATTTTATTTATTTTATTTTACTTATTTTATTATGAGACAGGCTCTCATTCTGTCACTCAGGCTGGAGTGCAGTGGTGCGATCGTGGCTCACTGAAGCCTCAAACTCCTGGGCTCCCTCGATCCTACTGCCTCAGTCTCCCAAGTCACTGGGATTGAGTTAGCTTTCATTTAAGACACAAACTTAAACATTATTCTTGAGTTTTCTCTCTCAGACCCACCATCAGTCCACTGGGGTCCAGCAAGCCTCACGTCCTGCAGGCGTCCCCAGCTGAACTCCCCCTCTCCCCTCTCCCCCGGTCCCAGTTGCTTGTCCCCTCCCCCTCCTCCAACTGCCCTCCCGGCCACACCCCACATTTCCTGGACCAACCCAAGTGATCCTTAAAAAGATGGCATCATTTACATCATGCCACTCCCTTTCTCAAAATTCTTCACCATCTTTTCTTCCAACTAGGAGCTCAAACCCAAATCCCGAAACAAGCACGCCCCAGGTTTTCAAACCCAAATCCCTAAACAAGCACGCCCCAGGTTTTCAAAGCCACGTTGGCATTTTCAGCGGCAAACTCCCCCACCCAACACCCACCATTCTGCTTGGGTTGTCAGAAAATTGGCCAAAATCTCTTATTCATTCTACTATTTTAAAATTCCTATGTTCACCGTGATATGATCTAAAAATGCAGATTATATCCATTTTCCTTGTTGTTTTCCTTCCAATCCTTTTGCTTCTTTTTCTCACCTTGTCCTTCCGGGAGCCCCTGCAGCTGACGCTGATGTCGGAGTCTCGGGTGTTCCTTCTGGTCTCGCTCCCGACTTGAGGAGGCAGATTTCAACATGGAGCAGCAGGTAGGGTTCGGCTGCAGCTTTTTGTTTCGTCTTTGTTCTGTTTTGTATCCGAACTCTGTTAGCTTTTCGACCTTCCCTTTTATCCGGAGCACGTGGATCCATCCTGTGTTTCAGGGTGGGGTTTTACTCTTCTGCTGAGAGTGTGGCCTTTTCTGATCCCGGCTTTAGGAGAGCAGGACTTCCTGTTGAAGCCCCCACATTCCCATGTCTCCAAACTTTAAGAGATCATGAAATTCCAGTTCACCTTTCCTTGGTTTAGCTGGCATCCTTGGGACGAAAGCTGGGCTGTGCTTGGCCACCCCCTCTGTGTTACAGGCTTATGGTCTACCCTGATAATCGCTCTCTATCACATCCGCTAGTCAGTCATTTTTAAATAGGCTTCTTAGAGTTCCTTCCGCGTTCTGTTACTCTCACCGGGAAAGCTGATCTGAGCAACGTGCCGTGCCCCAGCACTGAGAAGCTCTCTGCTTAGCCCCAGAACCTCACTGCTGCTCTTTCCTGTCTTCTTCTTAAAAACAATGATTGTGAGTCTCTATCTCTCAGAAGACCATTTTCTGTATTTTACAATGAGATTTCAAGAAAGAGAAGAGATAGGTTGGTGTTATCCACTGTCTTTGCGTAAATCCCAGCCCCTGTGTTTGCCCTGCACCGTGATGTTCTCCTCCTGGCCAAGAAAAACATGTGGGGGGAGATCACATAATAAAGTGGGGGATTGCCAGCTGAACAGAGACTCAGAAAGAAAGCACTTAGAAAACTGTCAGGTGAGTTCTCCCTAGCACATTCAATTACATGTTGACATCTCAATAAAATAAAGTGATTCAAAGTTTACGGATTTTAAAGAAGCATACTCAAACGTATACACTGAAAAGTGTTGTTTCCTTCAAGATAATCCCTTTGGAAGGGTGCATACTTCCAAAATGAGGCAATGAGAATTACAAAAAAAATATTTTGGGGCCTCTCTCTCTCTCTTGTTTTTTTTTTTTTTTTTTTTTTTTGAGAAAGAGTCTTGCTCTGTCACCCAGGCTAGAGTGCAGTGGTATGATCTTGGCTCACCTCTGCTTCCCAGGTTCAAGTGATTCTCCTGCCTTAGCCTCCCAAGTAGCTGGGATTACAGGCACCTGCCACCATGACCAGCTAATTTTTGTATTTTTAGTAGAGAAGGGGTTTCACCATATTGGCCAGGCTGGTCTCAAACTCCTGACCTCAGGTGATCCGTCCACCTTGGCCTCCCAAAATGCTGGGATTACAGTTGTCTCTTTTTTTGAATGCTAGCCATGTATCCTATGACGGTGGAGTTTTTATTTTGAAAACAGTCAACATTAGATTCAGTCAAGTATGGTGAATAAGAAATGTTCAATTAGCATGTCATCATTTTTGATAACTCTGTGTGTGTGTGTGTGTGTCTGTGTGTGTCTGTCTGTGTGTGTGTCTGTGTGTGTGTGCAATTAAAGAAATGCAGTTATTGGTGGTTTCTTTTGTAACTGGAGGTATTTCTAAAAGGATGTTTTATTAGATATTGAGAGGGTGTTTGGAAATCCAATGGAGATGACTGGTTTAGCTTCTGGGGTGACAGATGCTAGTCCTGGACCCCTCAGTCGTGACCCTCAGAAGGAAGTCCAGGATGACTGGTTTAGCTTCCGGGGTGACTGACGCTAGTCCCAGACCCCTCAGTTGTGGCCCTCGGAAGGAAGTCCAGGATGCATAGGGGCCTTTCCACCCCCTTGAAGTTCTGAGCACTCTTACGATGGTCCAACTGCTTCCTGGATTTTTTGTTAACTTCCTGTTCTTTAAACAATCTCTTCTTTTCTTATATCTTGCCTTGTTCCAGGAGTAGTTTCCTGATAAGAAAATCTCACTGAACTGTCTCAATTTCTAGACTCCTGTTTTGTGAGACTGCTAGCTTCCTAAAATTGTGTCAGATCAGCTCCCAGGAGAGGTAAACATTATTAGCAGGTGCACTGAGACTGTTATCTGCTAACAGCATCCAGCAGGAAAATGAGACAAAAGGAAAAAGGATGTTTATTTAATTTTAGTGTAAAATTGCATAAATAAATGAAGCCATGGAGAAATTAGATATCTATAAGCAAAAGAAGAAACCTCAGCCTCACACCTTATACAAAAATTAGCTAAAAATGGATCATAGATTCAAGTATAAAACATAAAACTATACATTTAGACAATAACATAGGGCAAAATCTTCAAGACCTAGAGTTTGCAAACATGTCACCAAAACCACAGTCCATAAAAGAAATAAATCAATAAATTGGATTTCATCAAAAAAGGCTTGGCTCTTTGAAGGACCCTGTTAGCCTTAAGATCATGTGCAGAGAAGGACCCTGTTGAGAGAAGATACAGACTGGAAGAATATACTTGCAAACCACATATCTGACAAAGGATTGTTATCTAGACATGTAAAGAACACTTAAATACAACAGTAAAGCAAACAAGCCAATTAGAAAATGTGCAAAAGACATGAAGAGACATTTCACTAAAAAGGACATGTGGATGACGAAAAAGCACGTGGAAAGATGTTCAACATTACTCGCTGTTAGAGAGATGCGATGAGTTCTTATTACACACCTATTGGCTCAGCTAAATTAGAAAAGAGTAACCACACCAGACGCTGGTGAGGACATGGAGAAACAGGATCATCCACACATTGCTGGTGTGGGTATCAAAGGTGTAGGCCACTCCGGAGAACAGGCAGCTCCTTAGAAACTAAACATACACTTCCCAGTAGGACTCGGCAGCTGCTCTCCTGGCCATTTATCCAGAGAAATGAAAACTTCCGTTTGCAGAAACAACTGTGCATGGTCGCTTATGGCAGCGTTATCTGTAATAGCAAAAAAATGGAACTCTCCAAAATGCCCCTCACTCGGTGGACGGGTAGGCAAGCTGTGGCCATCCACACCCGGGAATATTACTCAGCAAAGACAGCAGCAAGCTACAGGTAGATCTCAAGGGCATTATGCTGAGTGAAAGAAGCCAACCCCGACAGGTCCCATGCTGTAGAATTCAATTCATATAACATTATCAAAATGACAAAGTGATAGTGATAGGAAACAGATTGGTGGCTGTCGTGAGCTAGAGATGGTGGAGTTGGGGAGGGGAGGAGCGTGTGACTGTAAACATGTAAGTATTCATTTTCCAGGGTTACCATAACACATGATCACAAACTGGGTGGCTTAATACAATTGGAATTTATCCTCTTACCATTCTGAAAACTAGGAGTCTGAAATCATGGCGTGGGCAGGGCCACACTCCCTCTGAAGGCCCTAGGGGGGATCCGGATCTCTCTTCCCCTCTCCCAGCTTCCAGGGTCCGCTGAGCGTCCTTGGCATCCTTGGCTCCTAAATGCATCCGTCCAGCCTCTGCGTCCATCTTCCCATGGCCTCCCCCAATGTGGACTTCTGTGCCTCTTCCCCGCTTCTCACGAGGAGACCAGTTGTTGGATTTGGAGCCCGCCCGACTCCAGTATGACCTCATCCATCTTCTCTTGATTACATCCATAAAGACCCTATTTTCAAATAAGGTCATAGTCAGCATGACTAGGGCCAAGGACTTCACTCCAACCTATTGTTTTGGGGGACACAATTCCACCAGGTAGCTCCAGGGAGATCTTAATGGTGATAAAATGTCCTGTACGTCCATCACAGAGGTGGCTGCACAGATGTGCACAGGGGGTAACATGGTACCAGGCACACCTTGTACCAGGGACAGCTTCCTGGGTTTCTGTTGTGCTATAATCATGCAGGATTCACCCACTGGGAGAAACTGTATAAAGGAGACAAAGGACATCTCTGTAGTAGCTTTTCAACTTCGTATGAATCTATAAATATTTTAAAATACAAATTTTAAAAAGCAAACAAAAATATCTCACTTCTACGTTCCCCCTCTTGCCTGCATCCACAGGTCAAAGTAAGTCACATAATCTCTGCTGTGTGGGAGACACACACACCCCACAAACAAACACAGCCCACATCTATGTCATTTGCAGGCTGACTTGAGTTTTAAAACAGTTCTGGGCACGAATGTGTGGTTTTCTCTGTAGGAGCAGACAGGGCTTTCTTCCAGCCAGAAAATTCACAGTTCAATTGAGGAAATGATGAACATCAATTGAAAAACAATTCCAAAATACTTCACAAAATTGCCTTTCATGGTTTTTCACTTGCTTATTTCTTTTTACACTTGGCCAGTGGGTCAGACCCCATTTCCCCGAGTGATCAAGAATAACCGAATGAGCTGAATCTTTGAGAACAATTAGAGTCCTAGAGTCCTGTCAACTCTGCTAGGAAACACGTAGTTCTTGGTGAGTCCAGTGTCTTTCAGTGAAATTTGGTTTTCCTTCAAAGCCATCCACATGTATTGTGTTTAGAAGCCTGAAGGAAAGGCTGGGGGATTTGGCATCCATGTGCTCACCACAATAGTTTATCGTGTCAGCTTATTTTTGATGTGGATTTTGTTTTGAAGTGCCTTGGAGCTATTGATTCATTTTGGAAAGAAAACAAAATAACCAACACATTTATATTCCATTTTGTTTACTAATATGTTAAGGCAGTCGCTTTTACTGTAGACCTAACAGAAACTCTTTTAAAACCTCATCATGTGGAAATTAAAAATATGGCTTTAGCAATAAACATAAATGCAGAACAGCTTCATTGAAACATCTCTGAACCTGCTGGCTACCTTGGCTGTTGGGGTTGGATGGCATGCAAAGTGACATATTTATTTCCTGTCTCACTATTGATGACTGTTGCATAGGATACATACTTTATTCTTTGTTAATGTCAGACACTCAGGCTAAAGGGTTGAGACCTTAATAGGTAGTCTTTCTGAGCTCTGATGTTTCGACTGTGCAAGCCAAACTCACAATGTGGAAAATGGAACATTTTATGAAGTTCATACATTTTCAAAATTGCTCCTACAATGATGCCTTTGTTTTGTGTTAGGACTGGAAAGATGGCTCCTATCTATTCCAAATAACTCCAATATCGCCTCAAGTGAAGAGGAAAGCCTCATATTTCAAGGCCACTGACTGGAACCCATTCACATGCCACAGGGAGACGGATGCCGTTGTTTTTTTTACGGCAAAGGAAACAGTGATGTATTGGAGTCTCATCACCCCGTCTCTCCATCATCACAAGCCAGTCTGGCTTGTGTAGCACGATTAAAATGTTATGTCTCCCAGTGAGCTAGTAAATATCAACACTTTCTCTCTTTCTGTATGTGTGTCCCTTTTTAGTGGATAAAGCCATTTGTTGACAAAAGTATGGACATTCTTATGGGATTGTTTTTGGAAAAGGATAACATGTAATTTCAAATTCAACATATGGTAGTGGTCAAATTGTGTTCCTACTGTGGAAAATGCTTGAATAATAACCTACTGCATTCTCTTGGCCAGTACACAGAGCACAACTTGATGAATTTCACCAGTTTCCCTTCATCTCCTCCTTTGGCTCCCATCCCATTCTGCAAGAGCTGATAAATCTCATATCCCCTGAAGATTATTACAGTTCCTAATAGTCTTATGACATCAGAAGGAAGCCAGGCTCAGTGGCACAAAATACATCTAACAAATGAAATCACATAAATAATTTAGTTTTCACAATTTAATTTTTATAGTTTTTCTTTTGTTGTGGTTGCTGCTATTATTTATGGGGCATAATAAGGACTGTAGGTTTACGCTGCAGTTAAAAAATGGGGAACATTTTAACCTCAAACATGTCAATGTTGTTACTACCCTTCACTGTTGACCATGCTCAGCTATTCAATTTCAGCCTAAGGTTGTACATGTGTTCATAAATTATACCATCAGAGAGGCAAATGCAGAAAGAAAAAAATTAGCTTATTTTCTTATAACAAATATTTTTCTCTCTTTAAAAATGAGCCTGGGGCCAATTTTATGCATCTGTGTTTCAAAGTAACCTGCATCAACTTGGGATCATCAGTAACTATCTCTCCAGAATCCTATGGCTCTTAAGAACAGCAACATATCTATTAAGCCCCCTGCATGCCAGGGCCTCTGCTCAGCGCTGGGGTGGATGTCAGGCAATTATGATGCATGCCCTTGTTCTCAAAGAGTTAACCCTTCATCAACACACACCCATTCAGTAGGTAATTGAGAAAGCAACACAGAAAGTCTATTTGACACTATGGATGTAAAGATTGGCCTGGGATTTGTTTTATAATAGCTTTAAATTATTTCCTTCCTTCCTTCCTTCCTTCCTTTCTTCCTTCCTTCCTTCCTTCTTTCCTTCCTCCTTTCCTCTCCTTTCCTCCCTCCTTTCCTCTCCTTTCCTCCCTCCTTTCCTCTCCTTTCCTCTTTCTTTCTTTCTTTCCTTCCTTCCTTCCTTCTTTCCTTCTTTCTTTCTTTTTTGACAAGGTCTGGCTTTGTAGCCCAGGCTGAAGTGCAGTGGCACAATCATAGCTAACTGCAGCCTTGATATCCTGCGCTCAAGTGATCCTCCTGCCTCAGCCTCCTGAGTAGCTGGGACCACAGGTACACATCACCATATCTGGCTAATTTTGTATTTTTAAATTTTTTTTTCATAGAGAATGAGGTCTTGTTATGTTGCCCAGGCTGGTCTTGAACTCCCGGCCTCAAGCCATCCACCCACCTCAGCCTCTCGAACATTGGGATCACAGGCATGAGCCACCACACAGGAACCCAAATAAAAATATTTGTGGTAGCCAGGTGTGCTGGTGCGTGCCTGTAATCCCAGCTACTCCGGAGTTGCTTGAACCCAGGAGGCGGAGTTTGCAGTGAACCGAGATTGTGCCACTGCACTCCAGCCTTGGTGACAGAGTGAGACTCTGTCTCAAAAAAAAAAAAAAAAAATTGTGGTGAGCATTACATAAAATGTTAGATTTACAATGTAATTAATGGAGATGTCATACTTAAAGTTATGTTGGGACAAGTCTGCTGTGTCACCATAATTTCTCAAACCTTAGTTGATTGAAACCAGGTCTAAAAGCTTAAACAAATCCTAACGCTTAGTTCTTCTTATAGAGAGATCTGAATTGCTTTTCCTCGAACATCTTGTGGTAGGGGCAATGCTAGTCCCTGGGAGTACAAGGCAGAGCCCAGCATACCCTTAGTAGGGTCCAGTCTTCCTAAGAATGGCGGGGAAGGGGACGTGAAGGGCACTGACATTCACTGAATGCCTGGCAAACCTCTGGAGACAGATATCAGTCGTCTTGCCTTTCACGCACACACGGAATCTCCCAAACTTAAAGAACTCAAGCAAGAGTTCATCGAGTCTCTTGAGTATGTGGGTGGGTGGACAGTGGTCCTTCTGCCGGCCTTGCGTGTTGGGGCCCCAGCAGGGGTCCCTCAGTTCTTCTCCGCATGTCCCCGTTCCTCTGACAGACCAGATAGCTTTTTCTACATGGCTCTGAGGGCCCCAAGAGAGTAAATACTTGCTGGATCTCTTATGGGCTTGGCCCAAAATTGGCATAGGACAACCTCTACTGCCTCCATTGGTCAAACCAAATCACCAAGTGAGCCGGGGTTCAAGGCGGGGAAACAGACTCCACCGCCGGTGGAAAGAGGGGTGTTCAGGTGCTGGAGGGGGTTGTTGGTGCCATCGTTGCAGACCTACTCACATCTGCCTCCATAGCACCCGTGCGTCTTCACAGCAATCATCTAAAGAAAGGGGTTTAGTTATTTTTATTTTTGGTCTATTTTTTAGATGAGAAAACTGAGGATTAGAGATATAAAGAAATAATTACCTGAAGTTCTCTAAACATTGGTGGGAGTATTTGTTAAAAATCAATGGGCTTCGGATAAGACAGACTGGCAATGAAATGCCTTTCCCATTTACTGCCTAGAAAACTGAGGGCAGTATATTTATCTTTTCTATAGAGTAAGGATAATGCCTATCTCGGAGCTGAGCAGGAAGGTGTACGTGAGCTGCTCAGCCTGGGGCCTGTAAGTAGCCAGTCCTCAGGGTTCACATATGACTGAAGAACGCTGAGTTGGTGGCCAAGAGCTGTGACTTCCAGTCTCAGTCAGTTACTACTTGACTGTTAAAATGTGAAGAAATAATTTGAAGTCCCTAAAATAAATGTTTTAATTTATAAAAATGGGCTGGGTGCAGCGGCTTACACCTGTAATCCCAGCACTTTGGAAGGCTGAGGCAGGTGGATTACCTGAGGTCAGGAGTTCAAGACCAGCCTGACCAACGTGGTGAAACCCCCTCTCTACTAAAATTACAAAAATTAGCTAGGTGTGGTGGCACGTGCCTGTAATCCCAGCTACTTGGTAGGATGAGGCAGGAGAATCGCTGAACCCAGGAGGCAGAGGCTGCAGTGCGGTGAGATTGTGCCATTGCACTCCAGACTGGGCAACAAGAGCGAAACTCCATCTCAAAAAAAAAAAAAATATACAAATGAAAATATTTGATGACCTTCAAGATTCCTTCCTTGAACAGGTTTTTAAAATCAGTTCTATTTGCAAATTTATAAACAACCAGGTTACCATGGTAATTAAAATCAGAGTGGAAAAGAGAGATGAAAATTAGCATAGTGTGTAAAGAACTATTGCCAAGTCGAAACGACAGAAAATAATGTTTCAATAGATATATGGGAAAATTGTCAAGAATTGTCATAATAGACAATTAATGAAAGAATTGCAAGTGGTCAGACCTCCAGTGGAAACATACCTAACCTCAATAATAATCAAAGATATTCAAATATAAACAAAGATGAGCTATTAATATTCATTTGTTAAATTGTTAAATGTGGCTGGGTGTGCTGGCTTACATCTGTAATCCCAGAATTTTGGGAGACTGAGGCAAGAGGATTTCTTATTTATTTATTTTTTTTTAAGACAGAGTCTCCCTCTGTCTCCCAGGCTGGAGTGCAGTGGCGTGATTTCTGCTCACTGCAAGCTCCGCCTCCTGGGTTCACGCCATTCTCCTGCCTCAGCCTCCCGAGTAGCTGGGACTACAGGTGTCTGCCACCACTCCCGGCTAATTTTTTTTGTATTTTTAGTAGAGACGGGGTTTCACCATGTTAGCCAGGATGGTCTTGATCTGCTGACCTCGTGATCTGCCCTCCTTGGCTTCCCAAAGTGCTGGGATTACAGGCGTGAGCCACCATGCCCAGCCAGATTTCTTAAGGCTAGAGTTCGAGACTAGTCTGTGCAACATAGAAAGATCCTTTCACTACAAAAAAAATACAAAAATTAGGCAGGTGTGGTGGGACACACCTGCAGTCCCAGCCACGTGTTAGGCTGAGGCAGGAGTAGTGCTTGAGTCCAGGACATGATATGAGCTCTGATTGCCACTACACTCCAGCCGGGGCAACAAGGCGAGACGCTGTCTCTAAAAACAATGTTGGTGGTATAGCATCAAAATCTGTCAAGGGATCAGTTTGGCAATATTTATCAAGAGCATTAAAAATTCACCTTTGACCCAATAATTTCAGCCTTTAGAAATGTAGAGATATGTGCACCAATGATAAACACATTTATTGCAGTGTAATTTACAAGATTTCAACCCAGAAAGCTACTTAAATATTCAAAAAAAGATGGGGAGCATTAAATACATTATGATACACGTGATAAACAGCAAAACAGCCCTTAAAGTCTGTACTTTTAATAATATTTCATACCCTGGGGAAACACTTGCCACAGGATAATGATGAATAAAAGAAGAAACCCAAACTAAAAATTGAGTGTCATTCCAGCTACAGGAAAAGATAAACATGTTCCCAGAGAAAAATCCTGAGAAAAAGCAACACCAAAATCTTGAGAATGTGTATTTAAAAAACAAACAATTGCATAGCTGATGATTTTTATCTTATTCTGTGTTTTGTTCTGAATGTTCACAATTGTAGCAAACCTGCAAACTTTGTGATGAACAACAACAGCAAAACCACAGAAAATGCAAAAACAAACGTGTCTTTTTTCTTCAGATATTCTGTGAATCTCTTGAGCATCACAACTTTAGGGACCACCTGCTGTGCCCCCCTATAGCAGTTCCTAGCACCGCCTCTCCTAAGACGGGTTAGGGTCACACTGAGAAACCACACTCAGAAACCTGGTGAATAGTAGGTTAATAAAATAAAGGTATAACTAGGCTTTCTTGGCGTCAAAACTACAGGTGCCTTTCATTCTTCTTCAGTCCCAAATGCAAATCATTTCTCATGTTTTTTTAAAATGGATTTTAGGCTGGGCGAGGTGGCTCACTCCCATAATCCCAGCACTTGGGGAGGCTGAGCTGGGCAGATGGCTGAGCCTAGAAGACCAGCCTGGGCAACAGGACGAAACACCGTATCTACAGAAAAATCAAATCGATCAATAAATAAAATGGATGTTGTTTTTCAGAGCAAGTTTAGATTTGCAGAAAAATTGCAGAGCAGGTACAGAGAGTTCTGATGTCCAACCTTCCTCCTGTGCGTTGTTCTGGTTTCACATGTTCGTGTTGTAATTGAGTGCGTGCACACTCAGTAAATGCGAAATGGTTTCATCACAACCGCACCGATGCAGTTCCTAAAAGAAACACACGACAGCCGATTTTGCTTCTCAAAATCGCTGCATTCAGGGTTTCCGCCGTCACCCTGCTGGCAGTGAACTAGAGGACCCGTCCCACCGGAGCTGGTCCATGGAGAGGTGCCACAGCCTGTGAGCCACGGCAGAGCGGAGAAGCCTGGGACCCCTGTCACCTCTCAGAGCAGCGCCTCACATGGCAGAAGGAGCTGCTTTCCGAAGAGCTAAAGGTTGCCATAAATATTTATAAGAGACCTGGCATTGCTGCGCTGGAGGGCAGTGTGTTATGATAAAAGTCACAAATGGAGCTGAAAAAACAGTGGCTTCTACATGACAGCTACGTGTGTGTGTGTGTGTGTGTGTATGTATGTGTGTGTGTATGTATGTGTGTGTGCACGTGTGTGGGGATACGTATTTGCACACATGTGTGTTCAATCTGTGGATACGGTACCTACGTGCACTTCTGTACCTGGTTTCTTCCTTTTTCTACACATACATTATTTATCTGTTTTTTAAAATTCAACTTTTATTGCTCCTTGTCCTGCCGGTGGCCCTGGCAACATGCCACGCCGGACTCCAGCTTAGTTTCCTTGTTGCCTTGCAGCCAAACTTACGCAGTGTGCAGACGGAGCTGCTCAGAGGGGAGGGGCAGCGAGCAGGTGCCACGTCCACACCGGGTGAGGCGTGAGGTGAGGGCTCCCCCGCGCCGCCCTGGCGTCCAGGTGGTGAGGGCTGCACGGAAACGTGGACTTCGGCAGAACATGTGTGCGCCACGGAGCGGCTGCGTGCAGCCCGCAGGTGAGACCGTCTGCATAACTCTGCCAACCGTGGAGTATCCAAGTAATTTTTAACTACTAATAATGAAAATACAAAAATTTGCTGTTTGGGAACTAACAAACAATTAGAGTGGGCTTAATCAAATGGCCTCCAGAGTAATGGCACTCTCCTTTGCTTTCTGGTGTGATTTCCTGAGAGTCTGTGAGCCAGGAGGAGTTTGGAGGAAAGACCTGCTGAGATGAGCAGCTGCGGCCTGAGCCTTCCTCCCCTCCTCCCCTCTGGGCTCTTTCTCCCGTCCAGGCGGACGCTGCCCCTGCACTGACCATCAGAGCCAGATCCAGGGGACAGTCCCCATCCTAGTCCCCTAGGCCCCCACGGCCACCGTCAACCTCAGGCCCCTCTGTTAACACCTTCCTTTGCTTGGTGTCGGGGACACAGCAGTCCCTGGTTTCTTCAGCAGGTGCACCCTCTGCACACATGCTACTCACCTTGCTCCTCCTCATGCTCTGACACCGAGGCTTCTCCATGCTCCACCACCGAGAGGGCTTCCATTAAAGTCTACGCCCAGGTCACGTCCCCGTCTCCCCTGCTCCCCTGAACAGCACACCTGTGTCCGTTTTCCACTAGACAACTGCACAATTTTGTTTCGGACTCAGAGGGGAGAAACTCCCATTTTTCCCCTCCATCCAGGAAAGCTGGACTTGGTCTCCCCAAGTTAATAACCAGGGTCCCCCCTCTTCCAGTTGCCCAGGCCCAAATACTCAGAACAGAGGGATCGTCAGGCTGAGTGGTGTCCCCCAAAATTCATACACAGAGGCCTGTTCCCAGGGCTGCGAGATGTAGCTGCGTCTGGAGACCGGGCATTTACAGATGTGATTTGGGTAAAATAAGGCCGCATGGGTAGGTCCTCACCCAGCAGGACTGGCATCCTTATAAAAAGAGGCAGTTAAGACCCAGATGCACACAGAGGGATGGCCCTGTGAGGACACAGTGAGAAGGCAGCCCCTGCACACGGACACCCTGACCTCAGATCCAGCCCCCCCGAGAAGGAAAGAATGAGTGTCTTCTGGGGAAGCCGCCTGGTCTATAGCCCTGGGCACTAACACCAGCCTCTCCTTAAAAAATGACTAAGGATTTCAGGGTTGCCCAGGAGAGCACCGAGCCCAACACAGGGCCCTTCTAGAGGCAGCTGCTGGGTTCTGTTGTCAACACAATCATCCCTGCGATCCTTTCTTTTTTACTCATTTTGCTTTGTTTTTTAGAGACGGGGTCTTGCTCTGTCACCCAGGCTGAAGTGCAGTGGCATGAACAGGGCTCATGGAAGCCTCGACCTCCCCAGCTCAAGTGATCCTCCCTCCTCAGCCTCCTAGGGTGTTGGATTGCAGGTGTGAGCCACGGCGCCCCATAGGCACAATCCTTTTAAATCTCTGGTCAGATTCCCTCGCTTCTCCTCTCAGATCTTCTTGGTGCCTTCCCACCTCACTCCAAGCAAAACACAAAACCTGTGTCACAGTCTGCAAGCATTCCAGTGGCGAGTCCCACCAGCCCCACCCCACCGTCTACCGGCTCTGTCCCCACCAGCTTTTTCCAGCCACTCCCTCTGCAGGGGACGTCCTCCATCGCACATCCACAGGCCTGTGTCCTTCCTTGCGCCACTCCTCAAATGTCATGCTGCCCTCCCGTAAGGCATCACCGCCCCCGCCAACCTCTCCTACCTCCTGCCTCATCCTACCATTCTCCTGATTCATCTTCCCCTAGGACACATCCCACCTGACATTTTATATATTTATTTTCTGATTATCTGACGGCCTCTGGTGGAAGGTGACTTCCAGAAGGTGGGGATTTCTAGAATATCTTCTTGGAATGTATGCTCAGTGCTTAGAAACTTGCCTGGCATTTAGAAAGTGCAATAAATATTCACAGAATATAACCAGAATCTATGGTCTAGCTTGCAGTCTATATGTGGCCGTCCACAGTGAACAGCATTTTTTTCAATGAGTTTTCACTGTGATTATTTTAAATCGTTGCTCCTTTCTTTCCAGCTATGTGGCTGGGCATCTGGAGGCAATGGCAGTACACCACGCGTGCGGATTCTCCCCAGGCAGGACCTGAGTCCTGGGAGGCCAGGCTGCCATGTGCTGGCCCTCACCTGGGGTGGGCAGGGGGTCCCAAAGGTGAACCCAGGTTCCTGCCTGCTGGTGTTGACACAGGTGCCACCTGTCCCCACTCCCAGGCCTGAGGGCGGGACTCAGAACCCAGGGCCTTGTCCACACCCCTGTCTCCAGACCCACTTAGGCAGGAAGAAGGGAGAAGCCACAGGCTCTGGGGTGGATGCAGGCAGCTATGCAGCCACAGCAGGGATGGGCCTCAGTAGATGTGGGACCTCAGCAGGTGTGGGACCTCAGCAGGCATGCGGTCTCAGCAGGTGTGGAATCTCAGCAGGCGTGGGGTCTCGGCAGGCCTGGGGTCTCGGCAGGCGTGGGGTCTCGGCAGGCGTGGGGTCTCGGCAGGCGTGGGACCTCGGCAGGCGTGGGGTCTCAGCAGGTGTGAGACCTTAGCAGATATAGGGTCTCAGCAGATGAGGCACGTGGAGCTTTGTCCAAGGCCATTGGGCCCTTTCCTGAGATGAAGCCTCTCTGTGGCCTCCACATGTGCAGATCAGAAAGGTCCCTTTCTGGCCTCAGGGCTGGCCCTCCAACAGCGGGGTAAGCCCTGTTTTCCTGTATGAAACCCCTTCCTCTGTACAAGGTCAGTTTTCCTGAGTCAATTCCAACTGATACAGTTGTATAGTCTGAGCAGAACACAGCAGCTCAAGTCTACCCAGGTGCCTGGCATGGAGCACCCACTAGCCCAGGGGCAGGTGGGGCCTCAGGCATGAGCTCTGAGCTAGGCCATCTTCCTGGAAACCCCAATTCTCTGTTCTACCACTTACAATAAGGTGGCACATAATTCACCATTGCAGTGGGTCATTGTCCGCAAACCAAAGCATCAGAGGCAGCGGTTTTAATCTCAGGGCTACTAGTGGATTACTTTGGACATATGATCTCATTTTTAAGGTTTTTTTTTTCTAAAATAGAATAACACTACCTGCTTTTCTTTTGAGAAAGTTGTTACAAGCAGTAAATTAATTTGAGTAATTATAAGGCAATTTGGAAATTCCCACACTCATTCAGATTTCCTTTGATACTAGAGAATAAGATGATGGATGCCCACAGCATTTGGTTATAAATTCAGATTCTGGGGTTGGGCGTGGTGGCTCACGCCTGTAATCCCAGCACTTTGGGAGGTCAAGGCAGGTGGATCACAAGGTCAGGAGTTCGAGCCTGACCAACATGGTGAAACCCCATCCCTACTAAAAATATAAAAAATGAGCCAGTTGTGGTGGCACGTGCCTGTAATCTCAGCTACTTGGGAGGCTGAGGCAGGATAATCACTTGAACCCTGGAGATGGAGGTTGCAGTGAGCCGAGATCATGCCACTGCACTCTAGCCTGGGCAACAGAGCAAGACTCCGTCTCAAAAAAAAAAAAAAAAAAAAAAAAAACAGAATTCAGACTCTGGCTTTGTCACTTACTACCTGTGAACCATGAACAACCTACTTCATTTCCCTGAGCTTTGACTTCTCCAGCTGCAAAAGAGGAAGAATGGTATTTCTAGGATATGAGGAGGATCAAAGGAGTGAATCTGTGAATGGTATTGATAAGATTTGAGAGGATCAGATGAGGGAATCTGTGAAAACACTTAGGATGTCTATCGAGTAGTAAGACCTCTTATGTATAAGTTATGATTATTGCCAAGTAAAGACAAATGGCATACAGTTTGCTTCACATCAGCTGGTAAAGATGCAATTACTATTCAGATAGGGAATAAACAGAAGTGGATTAATTATTGTAATGTAAGTTATTTTAACGTCTTAGTACATGGATTGTCAAAAATAAGATATCCCTACTTCAAATGAAGATACTTCCAATTGAAGATGCTGCTTCAAATGTTTCTAAAAAACCGTAAACCTCCAATATTTAAATACAACGTAAAAGTTATCAAAGGAACTTTAAAGCCATCATCTCCTTTATTCCTCATGAGAACCTCACCAAGTGAGAGGTACACAGATTATATCGTCCCAATTCAGAGATGAGGAAACTGGGACTCTGGGAAGATGTCTTAAACAAAGGTCAGTGGAGCTAAATCGAAGGCCAGTGCCTTTCCAGGGCTCCAGGAAATTCCAAGCTCAATTTAAGGCTTGGCTTGAGAAAGCTCACTGAGAAAATGTGAATATCTCCTGGAGGTGGACGCTATTTTTGCTCATTCAAGATGGTATTCGACTTGACGTGTGTGTGTGTGTGTGTGTGTGTGTGTGTGCACGTTCTTGTGCTGGGGTGGGGCACTGGAGGCACAGACTGTTTTTAGGGAACATTCCTTTGGATGAACGCATCTTCACATGCCTCTCTGGTAAATGACGGGTTGTTTCTATGCAATGAACTATAAACAGGGAGCGCACTGTGAACAATAGCAACATAAATCACAGTTACTGCTTTTCTACTCTGCAATCTGGGGGAAAGGACATTTCTCAGTGTGCTTTCCTTGACACACATCAGTCTCTGTGTTTACTATTCAAAAGATGTGATCGGGTGAAGGCCTGAAGCCCTTTCACATTGAAGGGGCTGAGTGGCAGAGGGTTCAAGACGTTATAACTGGAGAGGAGACATTTGGAAATGATTGTTCTGTTACAAAATGCTGCCTGGGAAACATGCTCTGTTATGTATTCACTCTTTTTTTTTTTTTTTTTTTTTCCAGTTTAGAAACCCATTTTTGGAGCAAGCAAGCAGACTGAATGGAAGTGGTGAGAAAATTAATCAGCAAAATCTTCTGAAATTGGGTGCCTTCTTCTTAAAAGTTTTCTCCCTGTAATCCTAGGTGCTGTCAGGGAGTAATAATTATTTCCCATAAACAGCTGGCTCAGTGATCTATTTTGCATGCTGGGGGAAAAGAACTAGCTGTGATGAGCTCTCCAAAGCTTTTCTCACTAATGATGTCTGTGATACACACTCACACAAAGACCCACATACATTCGAAAGGAAGATACTGCAGAAGAAACTCATTTACAGTCTTGATCTACCACATGCATTCTGCAGGGTGTTTCAATGTCACAAGAAAGCATAAAGAAACCCATCTAAGTTCCTGTTTGTTTCAGATGCTCCTTGAAGATGGGAGAGAGAGCTGGAGCTCATCTGTCCTGGCATCAGAGAACCGTGACTCCGGAGGGTGGGAGAGGCAGGCCCGAGTCATCTCTGCCCTGGGGCCCCTTCCCAATGTGTCCTGTCTTCCTCCCTAGTGAGGGGAGTCTAATTTAGAGTGGGAAGTGGAGAGGAATGCTGGCCAGGTGGGAAGTTGGGGGGCTGCGCCATGACCCGCCACACTTGGCTGGGTGGCTCCAGGGAACATCCTCTGCCTCCCCTCCAGTGCAGGAGTGAGTGAAGCAGCTGCCTCTGTGGCTGCCGACGCTGGCTACGCACAGCAAGGGAGGAGGCTGAGACATGAGGAAACCTGGCCCTCTAGGCGGGCACTTTGGAAGCTCGCTGGCATGCTGCTGGAGACCCACCGGCAACCACGAGGACAAGTGGGGACCTGGTGACATTCCAGCTCTGCCAGCCCTCCCAGAATAAAGGGGAATGGCAGCAAATCAAGAGGCGGAGGCGTTTCAATGCCATTTTGCTGTGCTGACTTTTCCTTTTGGACATTGCGAACAAGAGAAGAAAGCAGCTCCCTTAACTGTAGTACAAAAAAAATTCAGAAAAGAGGGCATTTTAAGGGTAACATTTTTCTTGCTGCAATGACTCATGGAAGACAGAAAGTGAGAGGCTTGCTGAAAGGCGAAAGACAGAGCCAAAAAAGCAAAACTCAAGTCCTATTTACAAAACGACGGGCCACAACGGACTCTCCAGTAACATGATATTGTACATTGTCCTTTAAATCCTGAACAGATCTTCCTTCCAAATCCTTTACTGCCTCAGAGTTGTTAATCACAAAATGAAGGTTTCTGCCACCAAAAAAAATTGACCACAGATGTTTCCAGAAAAGAAAGAGGAAAGAACAGCCATTCACCACGCCCGTGTGGGGTGTTGAGGCTGCAATGCTGAGGTCCCTGAAAACACAGGCATGAGCAGTGCTTGTCCTTTCCAGGGACCCGAGGACAGCGAGTCACAGAGCGGCTGCAGGTGCAAGGCCATTCCTCATAGAAACCGTGTGTCCAGGTGTCAGGCATATTTGTCATGGTTCCTCAAAGGGGAAACATTCATTTATAATTTTGAAAAACAAAAACAAAAGAACGACATGAAAGGAGAGGCCTTAACTAAAAAGAACAATTCACAATTGCCAAGCAGTTGAGGAGGTCTTATAAGAAACTCTGGGAGTTAAACAAGAAGTCAAAAGGGCTGGATTTCACGGGCAGCGTCCTCCTTACCTTCTTGTGCTAGAAGGCTGGATCTGGGGCTTTTCAAAGGCAATGAAGACAGGCCAGGCACGGTGGCTCAGGGCTGTAATCCCAGCACTTTGGGAGGCTGAGGTGGGTGGATCACCTGAGGTCAGGAGTTCAAGACCGTCCTGGCCAACATGGAGAAACGCTGTCTCTATTAAAAATACAAAAATTAGCTGGGTGTGGTGGCAGGTGCCTGTAGTTCCAGCTACCCGTGAGCCTGAGGCAGGGGAATCACTTGATTCCCGCCAGGAGGCGGAGGTTGCAGTGAGCCGAGATCCCACCGCTGTGCTCCAGCCTGGCCGACAGAGTGAGACTCTGTCTCACAAAACAAACAAACACAACAAAGGCAAATAAAATCGTTGTTTGAGCAGCCACATGACGTTCAGTCTTATGTATTCTCCAGATATATTAACAGAACTGTAAGTTTTCAAGCAGGGTTTTCTAAAGTTTGTGAACAAAATAGAAGCATGCTGTATGCTATTTGGGTTTTAATTGTTCCATTTATGAAGTGTCCGAGTGAGTAATGGCGGCAAGTTCATTTGATTCCACTGGGGACACCTGCTGTGAGTGAAAACAGGAATCTGTTCTCTCCAGACCTGGCATCAACGAGGATAAGGGAATGGAAGCTCTTCTTACAGCAGTTCTCAGGGAGCGTTTCTTTGCCATTCAGTAAAGATCAGACCCTCAACATTTTCAGAACTGCACCCTGACATTCTTAAAAGCCAGGGCTCCTGTTCTCCCACCCCTCCCTGGGTGCCGCCATCTGTCTAGAAGGCAGCATTTGTTTTCAATCGAGAATGCTGACCACACCTGGCAGGCACAACTGAGACGCATGAGCCTCCCCTTTCATTTACAAGGTGCTAATTTGAAAGATAAGTATCCCTTCAATAGCCCTGGGGCTGGGCACCAGGATGCAGTGAGTCAGGAGAACAGGATGGAAATCATGAACCCTGGTATCATTAACAAAGCGATAGATCAGTATTCGTACAACATCAGAGCCCTCAAGAATATTTATATCTATCCTTTCTACATGAAGTCTCTCACAAGGAATCTGAAAGAGCGAGAGATGAGACATGCGTATGAAAAGAGTTCCTTCCATCGAAGGCCCTTCGTGAGCATGACTCATGACCACTACCCTGTGTGACACCCGGTAATGTGTCCAGTTGAGAAAATTAGGAAGCGAGAAAGTCAGTCAATTTCCTCCACATTCCTGGAGGAAACTTAAACACAGAAAGAGATGCCAGGAGTGAGGATGTGCTTGCGATGCAGGTGACACCTGCAGCCACGTTAGAGGTGTGATTGCTCCCACCCAACGGCGAATGCAGCCAAAGGGCGACAGAAGCATCTTAGGAACAGATGATGGGGTGTGTGCCCTGGAGATCCAAGGATGACGTCTCTGTCATCCACGCTGCCCCCTGAGAAGTATACGGTGTGGAGGGAGGTCTTTTCCTTTTTCTTTCTTTCTTTTTTTTTTTTTTTTTTTGAGACAGAGTCTTGCTCTGTTGCCCAGGCTGGAGTACAGTGGCATGATCTCGGCTCACTGCAGCCTCTGCCTCCCAGGTTCAAGCAATTCAAGCAATTGAGGTTTCCTCTCTCAGCCTCCCGAGTAGCTGGGACCACATGCATGCACCACCACACCCAGCTATTTTTTTGTATTTTAGTAGACACGGGGTTTCGCCATGTTGGTCTTGAACTCCTGAGCTCAGGCAATCCGCCCACCTCTGCCTCCCAAAATGCTACGATTACAGGTGTGAGCCACTGCGCCTGGCCAAGAGAGTTCTTTTTCTAAACAGACTCGCTCCATGGAGCTGTTCCCCAAGTCCCTCCTTCTCGGCGCCCTCAGACACACACTCTCTTAGTGTCCAGAACAGAGCCACACGAGCCCTCAGCATCCTTCAAACCCGTTCTTCCTCCAGATGCTGCCGAGGTCAGGCCTGAGGCCGGCGCGTGGAGTGGCCTCGGCACCCTGTGTCCTCAGCTTGGCAACTCAGAGAAACATGTTAGAGGTGCTAACATTGGATACATGTGAGCACAAAGCTGGCAACTCTCAAAGAGGGAGGAAGACAAGGGTCGAAAACAATCTGTTGCTATGTTCACTATTTGGAGGAGGGTTCACCTGAGCCCAAACCTCAGCATCATGCAATATACTCGTGTAAAAAAGCTGCACGTGGACTCGCTGAATCCCAAACAAAAATTAAGTAAGTAATAAACATTTCTTATTTGTGGAAGGAGGGAGGGGGAGTGATATGGTGTGGATCTTTTCCCCACCCAAATCTCATGTTGAATTGTAATTCCAGTGTTGGAGGTGGGGCCTGGTGGGAGGTGATTGGATCGGAGAGTGGGTCCTTCATGAATGGTTTGGCACCGTCCCCATGGTGCTGCTCTGATGGTGAGTCATGACGAGATCTGGCTGTTGAAAAGTCTGAGCATGTCCCCCTCGCTCTCTCTGGGTCCTGCTCCTGCCATGACAGACACCTGCTCCGGCTTCGCCTTCTGCCAGGGGTAAAAGCTCCTTGAAGCCTCTCCAGAAGCAGAAGCTGCCATGCTTCCCGTATAGCATGGGGAACCATCAGCCAATTCAACCTCTTTTCTTTATCAACTACCCAGTTTCAGGTTTTTTTTTTTTTTTAATAGCAATCCAAGTATGGACTAATACAGAGAGAGAAAGGAAGAAAGTGAAGAAGAGCAAACGTATATCTGCAGCGGTTTTTCTGCATGGCTAAGGTGAGGCTGGGCTCCGTGGCTGTTCAGGCGATTTTGCTGCCTAGAAGGGGATTTGGAGAGGTAAGAAGCCTGCAAGACAGGAGGCAGCAAGAATAGGACGTGGGCGGGGGACACCTACCACACAAAAGGCTCATGTGGTCTTGATAGTCGTGAATATCTTGGATGCTCATGCCGAGCTGTTGAGTGAGATTCCTTATGCCATTCTCCACACTGGAAGGCTGAAGACTAAAGAGGTCATTTGAGCTATTAGGGGCACCTGACTCTCCCATCAAACTGTCATTCCTCTAGACCAGGGGCAGTGGCTCACCCCTGTAATCTCAGCACTTTGGGAGGCCAGTGGATCTCTTGAGCCCAGGAGTTCAAACCAGCCTGGGCAACATAGCAAGATCCCATCTCTACAACAACAACAACAACAACAACAACAACAAAACATACAAAAAAAAATTAGCCAGGCATGGTGGCACACACCTGCAGTCCCATCTTTTTGAGAGGCTGAGGTGGGAGCATGGAATGGGCCTGGCAGGTTGAGGCTGCAGTGAGCTGTGATTGTGCCACTGTACTCCAGTCTGAGCAATAGAGTGAGACCCTGTCTCAAAAAAAAAAAAAAAAGTCATTCTTCCAGACAGCAGAGGTGGAAATGGGAAATAAGACTGTTCAGAAATGCAGCAGACAATTCTTATTCAGCCTCCCTGTAAAGATTTGAAATGGATTGTAACATTGTAACATCGTAGGTGAAAAAGATCAAGCACAAAGCATAAAACATATAAAAAGGGTTTTCATGTTTGCAAAGCTCTGAACAAGTGTAACTTCTTATCTAGCCAGGAGCCAAGAAAGGTATGGCCAATGTTAGGGGCGATGGGTCACAGGGAAAGGCGTCCGTGAAGCCCGAAGCTCTAGGGGGACCTCACAAAGTGGGTGGGTATTTCTGCCTGACTGTTGGAGAGATGGGGGAGGGGGGCGCGGGGGCACTGGGGGTTCCCTGTCCTTCCTCTACATGAGTAAAACGGAGTGTGGGGGAAGCTTTGCTTTGATCTGCTCCATGCACTTCTAATTCCACACCTGTGGTATAAGAACATGCTGCTTTTCACACACCTCACCTTCCTGGTAACACAAAGGGATGGTCAGAGCAGACGCTGGGGTAGCACTTGCCACACGCCAGGCACTGTTGTAAGCATTGACTCCTTTGGTTCTCACAATGCACCCATGAAGTAGGTATTATTACGATCCCCCTTTTACAGATGAGGACACGGAGGCCAGGAGAGGTGACCCACGCTGCTCTAGGCTGCATGGACAGTAGCAAGTGTGGGGCTCACGTTTGCTGCAGAAGGTAACCCCAGTCTGCTGTGTCACAGGCCTCTGCACCTGATCGTAAGGTGTCAGGGTGACATCTCTTCCTCACTCCCTCTGGGCATCTGCCCATCATTCCCATGTGGCTTGCTCTTGGGGTGAGGGTTCTCATCCTGGGAGGTCTGGGTAGCAAGGCCGGTCTCCTGGGCAGCACTCAAGAGCACAGATGCTCTTGCTCAAAGACAGGCAGAAGTGTTTTCACAACAAGACTAGGACCATCTAATTTCAATGTCATTAAATTAATAAAACTCTAGGGGCTGGCCAGCGACAATCTAATTAAACGTTACAGAATGCAGCCCAATTATGTAACACAGTGGGCTGACTTTCAGATAGATTGGTTTTTGATATACATCAGCTGGTTAATCACTTGTCTGCCATATCAGGTAAGCTGGGATTAAACACTCCATCGCACGAAATCTTAAGTATTTCTAGCTTCATGTCAGGGTCTTCTTTTGTGGGCAGAGGTCTGCTGCAAAGATTATTGATGAAGTTTTGATTGCTACCTGCCCAGATATGACCTAGCTAGGCTGGAGGTGGAGGTGTTTGCTTTCCCGAGATACATTAGGTCTGCCTAACAAATATTTATCAAGAGCTTACCATGAGATCATACCACTTCTTTGGCGATCAATTTGGCAATATTTAAACAGAGAAGGTGCACACTTCATGACCCCAAATTGCACTTCTAGGTATGTTATGTCCCCTGGAAAAACTCTCATGCAGGTGCACGATGAGATGCATGGAATAACATTTGCTGTAGCCCTCCTTGTCATGGAGAGGTGCTGGGAATAGCTCAAGCATCCTTGGGCAGCAGAATGGGTACCTTCATTTTGGCATTTTTATATGATGGATTTTTTTTCAGTAGTTAAAATGAGTGAATGAGAGTTTAACATATTAATATGCATAAATCACAGTAAATGTTGAATGAAAAATACAAGACATAAAATTACATTTTTAGAATTATGCCATATGTAGAGTTTAATTTACTATTCAGAGATATGTACTTTCATACACGGTAAAAACCTCAGTGCATTGGTGGAGCTAATGAAATACCAAAGCCATGACAATACATATCTTTGAGGAAGGATAAAATGAAAGAATCAGGGAGATACATATGGGAGATTTGAATTGTAACTACACTGATTTATTTCTTTAATAAGAATGGGTGATGATGCAAAATATTGTTGTAATGATTTTAAAACATGACTGATGTTTTAAGCACCGGATTGTGTGTTTATTAGGTTGCCCTATTTTTTTTGATGACTGAAATAGTTCATAATATAGAAAGAATTTCCTGCAGGCTAAGCATTAGGGCACTCGGCACAGTAAGATGAATGCCTGCAAGCAAGATACAGGAAGCAAGGAAGGAAAAAAGGCTTCACAGAAGTAGGACGTCCTCGTAACTGGTACCACCAGCCGCAACGCAAAGCCAAGTCTGAACATGAATCTTGCCTTTGATACGGGCAGACTTTATACGATAACCTTTCTCTTGAGCAAAATTTACTCCAAAAATAACTCACTTTCCTGAATTTTTCTCTTTGTAGATGTGACATTCGTATGAACTAGCATTTCAAAGTAGGGTGTGTGGAACTTGGGGCAAGTGCAAACCATGGCAGACTCGGAGAGACATCCTTATTAGGAGGTGCTTGGTTGCAAACCTTTTGATTTCATTACTAATTTAAAGCTACTTTGGCTGGCTACATTATCGGAAGGAAAAAAGAAAGAAAAAGCACAGGTGGCTCTGAGCACCTGCTTGCCTTTTGACGGGTGGGAATCTGGGCTTGACTGTGTCGCCGTCCACAGCAGGTTGCTACAGCGGGTTCAGCAATGGCACCTGGTCCATCGTTCCCCGCTCAGGATTTTTCCCCGAGCTGTTTGGAAATCGCTGGATGCTCCATTTTTCAAATTCGCTTCACGTGTAGATGAATTTGGCAAAAGTCAGAGAAACAGCGAGTAGCCAAACAAACGGGAATAATTTAAGCTGCAGATCATAAGCTCCCGGTGGGCAAGGACGAAACCTTCATCTGTTCTCCAAAATGTTCCACGCAGCTCAGTGGGCATTCTCTGATGCTGATTACCACGGCTCGATTGACACGTTTAGCTCCTGTGGGGACAGCGTCGCTCATGATGAAGAGAATCAATCAAACTTACTTTCCTCAAGTTTGCTGGTCCTATCTAGAATGCTTAGACACGTGTCCAAAACAGCACTCTCATTGCAATAACAATTGTATTGTTATTATTGATTATTAGAAATCTGTTATCCGAAGCAATGGAGGCCATACCTTTGTGACGAGGTGACTACACATGGAGGTCCAAAACGATGTTACAAAGCCTTATTTGTTCATTTTTAAAATAAGTATTTTATTTAATGAGGTATGTAGCAAACACCTCTGCTCCTCTCCCATCACACCTCCTCAGCTTACTTTTTTTTTTTTTTTGGGATGGAGTCTCACTCTGTTGCCGAGGCTGGAGTGCAGTGGTACAATCTCAGCTCACTGCAGCCTCCACCTCCTGGTTCAAGTGATTCTCCTACCTCAGTCTCCTGAGTAGCTGGGATTACAGGCGACTGCCACCATGCCTGGCTAATTTTTTTTTATTTTTAATAGAGACGGGGTTTTGCCATGTTGGCCAGGCTTGTCTCGAACTCCTGACCTCAGGTGATCCACCTGCTTCGGCCTCCCAAAGTGCTGGGATTACAGGCGTGAGCCACCGCGCCCGGCCACATGTGATTTTAATTAAGGCATGTGAGTAGCACACAGCTCCACATGCATTCAGCTGCAGGAATCTTACCCCACCTCTAACATGTGCTACAGCTTTCCTTTCTGCTCCAGCCTCTGCTCCAATGTTACTGGAGCACATTAGCCCCACACTAGTACAGACAGGAAGTCCGAGGGAATCTAATTCTTTGATGGTTAATTTTAATGTACCCACTTGACTGGGCTACAGGATGCTCAGATACCTGGCAAAATGTTATTTCTGGGTGTGTCTGGTGTTTCCAGAAAAGACTAGTATTTAGATCAGTTCACTGAGTAAAGAAGACCCCCTCACTTATGTGGGGGGACGTCATCTAGTCCATTGAGGACCCAAATAGAACAAAAAGGTGGCAGAAGAGAGAGTTCTCCCTCTGTGTGCTTGAGCTGGGCCCTCCCTCTTCGGTTCTTGGAGGTCAGTGCTCTTGGTTCTCCGGCCTTTGGGCTTGGACTGGAACTGCACCACCGACTTTCATGGTTCTGTAACTCACAGACAGCAGATTGTGGGACTTCTTGGCCAGGATAACGGCATGAGCCAATTCCCAGAAATCTCTATCTCTAGCCTATTGGTTCTGTTTCTCTGGAGAACCCTAATACAACTTTCTAGGTGAATCCTTAATCAATGGAGAAAAAAAGACAGCAGACAAATGTTCCAGCCTCCCAACCTTCAGATAAACAACTCTGGGGGGTTAAGGCGGGGGCTTCTGTACTTAATTATGTTTATTTCTTTAACTTAATTAGTTGCAGTTGATTCTGACACTGTGGCTTGATGTTCTCTATCTGCTTTGGAAAATTTTCAGAAAATTGTGTCTTTCTTTTGCTCTCCTTCTCCTCTGGGATTCAAGCAATACCCTTTGTCCCTTTATGCCTCATTCTGAGTAGTATTTTTTCTTGACCTACCTTTCAGCTCATGAATTCTCTTTCCATACGGATCTAAGCTGCTGTTACACTTACCCAGTGAGTTCTTTTTTTTTTTTTTTAGATGGAGTCTCGCTCTGTCACCAGGCTGGAGTGCAGTGGCGCAATCTTGGCTCACTGCAACATCTGACTCCCTGGTTCAAGCTATTCTCCTGCCTCAGCCTCCCAAGTAGCTGGGACTACAGGCATGCACCACCACGCCCAGCTAACTTTTTGTATTTTTAATAGAGATGGGGTTTCACCATGTTGGCCAGGATGGTCTTGATCTCTTGACCTCATGATCCACCCACCTCAGCCTCCCAAAGTGCTGGGATTACAGGCATGAGCCACCATGCCTGGCCGTGAGTTCTTAATTTTGGTTATTGTATCTTGTTCTAGAATTTCCATTTGGTTCTTTCTTTATAGTTTCCAGTTCCTTAACGCTTTAAAAAAAGTTTATTAAGTATGTAAATCATATCTGATAACACCATCTAAATCCCTCTCTGTTTCCATTGTCCATTGTTTTACATTTTTTTCTTCTATGTGCTCTATTGTTTTTGATTGAGTGCTAGACATTGTATATGAAAAAACTTTACGTCTAATTAAATGCATAAGATGTTATTACCTTTCTTCAAAGAGAATGCACATTGCTTTCGGCAGTGGCCAGGAGCAGTAGAATTCCTGCAACAACGTAGTCCATTTATGGAACTCATAGGATTTTAAACTGAACTTGGGCTCCTGTGAATGCTGACGTCTTTCTGGCTTATCTTTATTTCCAGGGTTTAGTCTTTTAGGGTTCTTCCTGTTGGCAGACCTAGACTCTGATATTTGCTCTCCTTCCCTAATAAGGTTGCCAAAAGCTTCACTCAGCTTGTAAGCTTCTCAGTCCCCCTTTTGAGAATCAGAGGAACTCCTTGGAGGAAAATGTACTCAAATGTCAGGTTTATAAGTATGGATTTTACATTCTTCTGGATTGTATCTTCATTGCCTTGTTATTCTCCAGTGATTTCAAACACATTAAATATATTTTATTCTCTGTATTCAGTTGTCTGGGTGAGAGACTTGGCAAACATCACCTAATTGTATGAGTTTGCTAAGGCTGCCATAACAAAAACCCATCAGTTAGGCAGCTTAAACAACAGACATTTATTTGATCACAGCTCTGGAGGCTGGAAGTCCAAGATGAAGGTGTTGACAGTTTTGACTTCTTCTGAGGCCCCTCTCCGTGGCCTGTACAGGTCACCTTCTCACTGTTCTCACAGCACCATCTTTTTGCATGTGCTCTGGTGTCTCTGAATGTCCACATTTGACACTAGTCAAACTGGATTAGGGCCCACACCATCAGCCTTATTTTAACTTAATTACCTCTTTAAAGACCCTATCTCTAAATACACTCACATTTGGAGATAGTGGGGGTTACATCTTCAACATATAAATGTTGAGAAGACACAATTTAGCCTACAATACTAGCCTACCATTAATGGGGAGAAGTCCCTTACTTGAAATGCAAAGGAGGTATTGTGTCACCCTCATTGATTTAATTCCATTTTCACAAAACGACTTCTGTGTGTGTGTTTGTGTGTGTGTGTATAGTGCAAGAAGAGAAAAGTATTGCAATTCCTGTGACTATAACTTCTCAGGGTTTCTGTACTCATAAACATTCCTTCTATGTAAGCACATTTTAGTCAAATTTTTGGCAAGATTGACAAATTTGCATAGAGAAAATGAATTCCATCAAGGCAATTTAATTCATTTCTAAACTTTGTGTACCATTTTAGAAAACATGTTTTTATGAAATTATTCTATTTGATTTTTTCCATTTAAATATTTGTCAAAAGTTGAATTCATTGATTCACTTTTTGCCCATATCGAGTTTTACTGATTAGAGCTTCTGCATCATGGATGCTCTGTGCAACCATAATTTTTGAAGAGGCAGCCCTATTTTCCTTCAGGTAACCTGGGAAGCTTTAAAATTGTTTTGAAATTTGATTCTTCTGCTTGTTTTTAGCCAACAGCAAACTTTACCATGTTCAATTTTTATTATTGTCAGTTTTCTTTTTATTTCCTTCAACGATTTAATAGAAGCCTTTGAATAACTAAAGGGAAGACAGAGAGTTTTTATTAACTTCTTAAATAATCCAGGAAAAGTATTGAACAATTTTATGAGACAGAGTACTGAGAAAGAAAGAAAAATACAGAGAAAATGAGAAAAGAGATGGAGGAAGACTGGGGAAGAGAGAGAAAAGGGAGTGAGGTGACAATATTGAGTCTAAACTGTTAGGTAAAAAGCCGTCCTTCAACTGAAACCAGTTCCAAATAACCTTTCTGTATGTCATGAACATATGCATTTAAATAGCTTTGTGGTCGTAAGTAAAGAGACCCTCCACCAATCTTAACTAACTTTGAGATCCTGCTAATCTCTCTGTAGTAGCAGCAGTTTCAGATGACATGCTATGATGGTTTTTTTTTTTTTACTGGAAAAATCAGATATACTTCATTCTTACTTTTTCAATCTTGAATTAGCTACACTGAAATGTGTAGAAATGGGGGTATCTCCATGTTTCCCAAGATCCCCCCCTCTCTGGATGCAAATTCACCGGCTCCTAGACTCACACTTTCGCCTACAGACTTGAGTCCCTTCAAAGGATGCTACAGGCATGTCTGGATTGCGTAGCATGGGCCCAAACCCAGTTCTGCCAGCCTTCTGGACAGTTGCTTTTTGTCATCTGTTGCTTCTCTGCTGTGTTTAGCTGGCTCTATTCTTCACAGGACTCCTCCTTCCCACCAGGCATATCTCCCTCGCTTGGGACATCCATTTGCCAACAGGTCTGTGGACAACTGGGTATTTGCAAGTCCACAGCCACCAGGAGACCAGGGATGCCCCAAATTCCATGATGAAGAGGGGGCTCCAACTTCCCTGTGTTTGTAAGTTATACATGGTTAGTAAGTATCAAAGCAGCAAGATAGCTAACATTTATTGGGTTTAACATATGCCTATTTTATACATATTGTCACATTTAATGCTCATTTGAAAAACCAGTTGACATCCACTGGGCCCCTCCTCACTGACAACTGAATGCTTGGTTCCTGGCACAGCTGCTTCTCTGGAGACAAGTGCCCCTGAAGACTGCAATCCTTCTTGCATCTGGGCTTCTGGGCACCTGCCCACCAACGTGCTAGTGCATTTCCCAGCTAGGGTCACAGCTTCAACTGAAGCTCTGATGCCCACTCCAGTGAAAGCTGTGAGACTGAAGAAAAGCTAACAGCTCACTTCATATTAAACCCTTCACTTTGGAACACAGAACGCTCAAGGATGGGAGGTTCTCTGTTATAGACACAAAAGGTGCCCCAGGGTTGCTCACATGAGTGCTGAACAGCGTTCCTAAGTCAGAGATGCCCATCCAGGAACAGTGGGGATGCCCTGGTGCTATTTGATTCCATGGCACCTCTTTTCTTTTTTCCTGAGAGTTTTGTCTATTTTTAAAATTAAAATTAAAATGATTTGTGTCAAGATTGCTGTAACTTTTGTGTCCCCTGCGAGATTTCAGATACTATGATCCATTGCAAAACTCAGGAGATTAAGATCTGATTCAAAGTGTGAATGACAAAAAAGAAAATTTGAGATGTCAAAAATAATCCTTATGGCTTATTTAGATGTAATTAAATTGCTAAACCAATATATTTCAAGCTTTACACTGGTTGCCAAACCCTATCATGATGAATGTTGGCATCCTTGGTGAATTTTTCTTTTCACAGCATTTTTTTTTTTTTAATTTAAGGAAAAGAAAATCACTGCAGAATATAGCACAGTTACATTATGGCTGATTGGAAGGAACTAAAAGGCTATGTGGAGACTTTGGGGTCTACACCGCTCTGCACCTGTGCTTTGAGGATAGGTTTGATTTTCAATGGTCAATGTTAATGGCCCCTTTATCACATTTTACCTGAAGAATAAATAAAAAAAAATTAGATTTGATTTGACTAGTTCAGAACACACAAGGCGTGATAGAGTTTGATGTCTGTGAGGGCTCTTTCTCTAATCCCTCAAGCGATTTGGGATATGACCAGGGACCTCCAAATCTTCTATATTTTGTGGGGGAGGTAGAATAACTATCTCAAGAAACTTGGTTCTTTAGAAGTTCCCCGTTTTAGAAGCCCTTCTCATCACTTACATTCTCTTTATCTATCCCCCAGCATCTTCGTGTGTGTGTCTGTTACACATGACACTTTCTGTGTCTATCCATTACTGCATTAAGTACACTGTTGCTATATTATCCACTGTCATGCTTCTGTCTCCCAGCACATTGTCTTTGTGAGCAGGGGCTGTTTTTATTAATTTTATGATTCTAGTATCTAACCAGAGATTGACACGTAGCATGCAGTCAGTCTGTGTTGAATATGTGATTCAAAAAATGCCTGCTGAACAAGTATATGAATCTATCTTTTTCTAAGGAAAAATATTTGAATTTACTCACAAAAGATATCCTGTTCTTAATACTTGGACCTCTTCCACAATGTATGTGCATTCCTTCAGCAAATGTTTATCAAACACTTACTAAGCACCAGACAAAATGCTAGAAGCTGGCACCAAGGTGATGGAGAGGTCTTTGGTGCTGACTCTGGCAAGAGCAGTTTGCATCTTGTGGTCAAGACAATAGCCACGACACACAAATTGTCTGCATGGACATGTGAGCACACGGTGAGTAAATGGAGACAGTGAGTTTGCAAGATGCTCGGAACGCATTTAGATAAGAGCAGAAGAAGGGAGCTTGGGTAGTGGCTATAGAAAGCATGAAGTCAGAAGGGGTTTTTATTTATTGTGAAGTGGGAGAAATTAGAACTTATTTAAACTGTGTTGGAAATGAGGAAACAGTGCACATACTATTTCTATGTTTCCTATCAACAGGAAACTTGATAAAATGCAGAGATTTAGGGTAGAGTGAGGCATGGATTTAAAGATGTGTGGGTAATGTTGATCTTTCTTTTTTTTTTCTGAGACAGGATCTCACTCTGTTGCCCAGGCTGGAGTGCAGTGGAACAATCATAGCTCACTGCAAACTCTGCCTCTTGGGTTCAGGTGATCCTTCCACTCAGCCTCCTGAGTAGTTGGGACCACAGATACACCCACCACATCCAACTATTTTTTTTTTTTTTTGTATTTTTTTGTAGAGATGGGGTTTTGCCATGTTGCCTGGGCTGGTCCTGAACTCCTGGACTCATGCAATACACTCACCTTGGTCTCCCAAAGTGCTGGGATTACAGGCATGAGCCACTGCAACGGGCCCAATATCAATGTCTTAAAATTATTTCTGTGATAAACAGGATAACAGACTAGAATGATTATGAGTACAAAGTCTGGCTGACAGAGGGCAGGACAGAAGGTCAAAGACTGTCCATACAATGACTGACTTTTTCCTCAGGGAAGTAGAACCTCCGATAAGAATAGGAGTGAAGAGAGCTGAAGCTGGAGACCACTGAATAAATACATTGAAAAGACCAACAAATACACTGAAAAGACAATAGGCCAAGGGAATTTAAAATATTAGCAAGAGTGTCTTAATTGAAAAGCCACATAATCCTGCTTAGATTGGGAAAGTGAGCTCAGATAAAGGGGACTAAAAGAAAGGGATGGGGTGGAAAATGGACTGGCACCTCTGGGAAAAATGAATAGCTGTGTGGTCATCACAAAGCTGGAAGGACAGGTAAGTGTGACCAGAGCATGGCATTTCAGCAAAGGTGAATTTTGATCTGGTGTTTGACTATGAGAATCAGTGGATGAAGTCATGTTCAAGAGCAAGTAAATGTAAATGGAGTGAAGAGAACAAGGAACTGAGGTCAAGCTGTTGGAGGAGTTATCAGCATGGAAACTGAGCTCATTCAACCTTGTGACTGGACTTGTAGTAGCGAATGTGTCTATGAAAGAGAAGTCCAGCCAACCACTCGTGAAAAGGAGGGACTGAGCAGTAGGGATGCAGTGGCGAGAAGGTGGATTGAGCCATACACCATGTTGCCAGAGGAGCAGAGTGTTCCCAGGAGGGCAGAGAAGCCACGTCTAAATGTGACACTACCGAATAAAGTTGACAACTCCATGTTTTCTTCCTAAAGTAGGTAGGTGGGTGCAGTAGACTGAACTGTGTCTCCCTAATTCATACACTGAAAACTTAACCCCCAATGGGATGGTATTTGGAGATGGGTCTGCAGGAGGATGGGCTCCTGGTTGGCCTTTGCTAATCCAGCTCTCCCCCACCCTGCTTGTAGTTCTCAGGATAACTGTGGAATGAGCATCTGAGATGAGAAGGAACTGTCTGAAACAGCCTGGGCTCTTTTCTTTCTCCTAGAACAGGGTGTCCTGCGTTGCTTTGGCTCAGTGAGCCCAATTCCCCAGGGTATAAAACCCAGGACAAGAAGATGGATATCTGCTGCCAGGTCCCCCAGCTGCCGTCCAAGTGGGGCACATGCAAGTGTTACTGCATCCACCCTGGGGGGCTCCCCTGAGGCTTGGGGGCACAGCTAGCCATGGATTGTAGGCTGCTATTATTCTTGCTGCCTGTGTGTGAGTGATAAATGTGCTTTGCCTGATGAGCTGCATGAATATTCTGTCCTACCCGACTCATACTCTGGGCAATGGGTTTATGTACAGCCGTCTCCCAGATCTGGTGAGGCATTTAGAGTCTTGCCAGAACTGAGGCTCTGACTGTAAACATCATCTGAAAAGGTGTTTAGAGACCTGCTAGATCTAGAAGCCTTAGCAGAAACTAGAAAGGTGTTTTGAGTCCTCCCCTGGGATTTATACCTGGTGGACAGTGAGTCCCTCCTAGGACTTGATACCAGTGCATAGTGTATTTCTGCTTCCAGGATCCTTTGGGAGATAGCTAGGTTTACGTGAGGCCATGAGGCTGGGCTTCCATGATGGAATTAGTGCCCTTAAAAGAAGAGACACCAGAGCTGGGTGTGGTGGCTCACGCCTGTAATCCCAGCACTTTGGGAGGCTGGGGGGAGGGGGGTGAATCACCTGAGGTCAGGAGTTCGAGACCATCCTGGCCAACATGGTGAAACCCTGCCTCTACTAAAAATACAAAAAATCAGCTGGGTGTGGTGGTGTGCGCCTGTAGTCCCAGCTACTTGGGAGGCTGCAGCAAAAGAATCACTTGAACCCAGGAGGTGGAGGTTGCAGTGAGCCGAGATCACGCCACTGCACTCCAGCCTGGTGACAGAGCAAGACTCTGTCTTAAAAAAAAAAAAAAAAAAGAGACACCAGAGAACTTTAACCAAACGGGTGGGAACCTTGATTGATGTTGGACTTCCAGCCTCCATGGCTTTGAGAAAATAAGTATCCGTTTTTGAAGTCACTCAGTTTATGCCTGTTGCTTAGCCACTCAGGCTATTTTCTATGATGGTTCGATCTGGCTGATACAATGCATGAGCTTTGTATTGCAGCATCTCCAAGACAATTATTTGTGGAATCTTAATTGATAGCTCAGTTGTTTCATAATGCTACAGGGCCTCTGAGAAGGAGTAGGGAACCCTGGATTCTTAGGTTATGTTCATGTTGAGTGCGCCGTGCCCACCAGTTACCTGTCAAGTTACATACTCACTGGTTGCACTAACTCTGTTCTATAAATAGCAAGGCAGAAAGAGGGAGGGAAGAAGAGCAATTAGGAGAGGAAAGGGAAAAAATAATTATCGCGGAGTCAGAATAACTAGCTCCAGTCTCAGGTGCACTGTGATGCACCCTTCCCAGCTGTTATGAAAAATAATACTCACCACCCACCTACATTGCAGGTCGTTGTGAAAGTGTATTAGAAATAATGACTTTGCTCTTCTCTGATAAAGGGGTTGTGTTTGCACAAAAACGATATTAGCTTAATCATGGTAAAATTGGTTTTTGCTTTCGACAAGGCCAGAATTGTTAAAGGTAGAAAAGTCTGTGTGGAATAAATTATGCAATTAAGTTCCTCTTAACATGACTGAAAAGAACCCAATTTATACCTCCAGAATGGAATAGGCAGACTCTGGAAATAAATCCCTGAGCCACAAGATGCTGTTCTATTTTTGCAAGATGCACAGATAGCTGGAGCTCTGTGGGGCTGCCTGTGAGACACTCATTTGAAGGCTCTCTTCTCACTGTCTGAAGACGGGGCAGAGAAAAAGCACCAAGCCTTTCAAAATGACTGCTCTCTCCTTTCCCTAGGGCTTTTCCCCTGGAACACCACTTGTGCTGATTTTTGGGGAAAACTTAAAGCAGCTTAACTGGCATGTCCCGCAGCTGCTCAGGTAAAGCCCTAGGCAGACATGAAGCCAACCATCATTAGCAGTCGGGATCTGAAGAAGGCCTTCTGCAAAAATATCCCTTTCCATCTGCCATGATCTGGGGATGCTTTGAATGAGAACTTCCCTCCAGCAGGTGGCTGGTAAATTGCTCATCTTTACCTGAGAAGACAGCAGTTTGGCTTACGAGTCTTTCTGAATTTCTCTCGCTCCATTGTCCCTGAGGAGCTTTAGGAAGGAACTCCATTCCATAGAGAACACTGAGTTTTTGCCTTCAAGGAGTGTGCAGTATATCTGAGGAAATCACGTACACATGATTGCAAGTACCCCTCATTTATATTTTGATTGTCTTTAGGTCAAGGACCATGTCATAAAACTCTGGGACCCTGCAGAGCCCGCAGCTTGGCCTGGCAGGGAGCATGTCCTGCAACGCTCTTGGTTATTCGGTCCCCAACACCTTCTATCTTATCTTCCACTGTTTCACTCCAGCCTTAGAGCTGTGCTGGAGCGGATTCTTCCGCTGGAAACGTCCTTTCCCCAGATGCTTTAGGATTCACTCTCTCTGCTCCTTCAGGCTTTTGTTTAAAGGTCACCTTGTCTAACGTTTAAAGTTACAACTTGTGCTCCAGCACCAGCTTCATCCCTCCCATCTCATTTCCGTGTTACTTAGCACTTTAGACCATACGACATAATTTACTTTTTATATCTATCATTTATTGACTATCTGCCCCATCAGAATGCAAGCTCCATAAGACAGGAGACTTTCCCTCTTCTGTTTATTGGTGTATCTCACCCATCTAGAACAGTGCCCAGCACAATGCAGGCCCCAATAAACATCTGTCGAGTACATGGATGAGCAAATGAATGCGTCTATATCTATACTGATAAGGAAACTATTTTAACAGATTTTAATTTTCACAGCAACTCTGCGGGATGGTTTCTATGAGCTCGGTTTTTCAGATCAGGAAACAGAGTCTGAGGTCAGTGCTTGCCCCCAAACAAGCTGATATAAACGGTAGGGCTTAGAGTTAAACTTTTATCTTTGTATTTTCAAAAAGTGAGTTTGAAACCAGGTTATTAGGACATTTTCGTTTTTTGAATGTGTCTAATTTATTGAGTTTAAATATGAAAAAAAGAAGCAAGTTTTGGTAGCTAATAAAAATCCATGGCCTACAGTGAGTTTTTAATTCTATTGCTGCTAGAATTCTGATGCTTCCATTTCAGATTCAAAGCATTTTTATATATTTTCTAGACCAGAGGCTCCCTCCCTCACTTGGTGAAGTCAACCTGCTCTTCAGAATATTATCTGTTCTCTCCAACAAACAAAAGAAATATGAAGGCCCATTTTCAAAAATTAAGCCAAAAGAAATATTCACACTGTATTTAGGGAATCCATAAATAATTCACTAGTTTTAGTCTTTTTTAAAATAATTCTGCCTTTATGGAAATTAAGTAATTACCAAATGTCAAATAGATCTTTGCATAGTTTACGGTAGATTCATTTTTACTAATTGCTGCATCTTCTGAAAGGCTCCTACCAAACGCATTTTCTACTAAATTACCTAAAAGTAAAGTTTGTTTGGACAATATCTACATTTTGTATTTTTCAAAGAAACAATTTACACCTAAGCTTAACTCTTGTAAATTGTTAAAAATCGCCTAGGTTGTTTGTTTTACAATGGCCTAGAGCCTCTGGAAAATACTCTTGAAAACACGGATGACCTTTTCAGCAGCACGGAGGGACAGCACCAGGTGCAAACCCAAAGTCTGCTCACTTAAAGCCAGCGCGCTTCGCTGAAGGCGAGTCTCAATTATCTTCCTCCGAATTGCTCAGGTCGGCAAACTAAAGAGGGCTGCAAAGCTTGGGAATTGGTTGGTCCAAGCATAACAATAGAGATTCAGAAAACTCTGAGAAGGGCGGTTCTGAAGCATAACATACTGAGAAGCAATTAAAGTAGAACGAAATGTTGGCGTCTCAACAAGGAGATGCAAAAATAAGTGAACAAATGTCCTGCTGGGGAGATGGGAAGGTGTGGTTCCATGGCACTTAGCTATGTGTTTGTCATGGAGCCCCTTCCTTCTGCAAGCTCTGATTTGGTATTCCAACATGTGAAGCAGAGACACGGTGAAGAATTGTTTCATTTCTCCTTCCCTCCCTTCCTCTCTCCCTGGCTTCATCTCCCTCTCCTTCCCTTCCTTTCTTCTTTGCATTTTTTCTTTGTTTTGTCTGTCTTTGCTTTTTCTTTCCTTCCCCTTTTTTCCTTCTAGAATAAGGTATTTTATATACTCAGGCTTCAAAAATTACCTTGTTATTCGCCATCCACTGATAACAGGGCTTATGGAAGATGAACATAGGGTTATATCAGCCTCCAGATTCTGCCTGCAGTGTATTCTGTTTGCACTATATCAAGAAAGTTCTGCTTCACATAGGTAAGTAGTTACTTACATACGCAATCATATGGTGGGTCCCCTCAGCTTAAGTCAGCACACATCACACACATCCATGTACCCCCCAAGAAGAGCTGCAAACATCCCAAATCAATGTTCTGTCTCAAGAGTTCAGAGTGGAGATAGAGGTAGAAAGAAAACACCTGTAGTTCAAACAAAAATAAATTAATATGGTGATATGAGAGCAGAAATGCACTTGGCATTCCCCAATGTGTGAGCACAGGACATAATACACCCCAGCTTGCCACTCAAGTGTGGCTGTGTGTTAGTTTACCATTAAGAAGTTAAAATATCTTGTAAATATACAAATAAGTGATTGAAGAAATAAATAAATGAGGAGAGTAGACAAGCCTTCCTTCCAAATAACAATTCCAATTTCTTCCAAATAAGAATTCCAAATAACAAATGTGGAAGGAATGAAGGAAATGGGAAAATCACCTTCAGACCTGCATAGTAATGATGTCATGGGCCAGAAACCCTGAAGAATAATAAATTCATGGCAAAGCTTTAAGGAGGAGCTGGGTACTTACATAGCCCCAAGCAACTCCTCCAAATACTTAAACAGTACTGGGATGGTTTCCACAGGGCCCCACACTCCTGGTACGCCTTCCATCAGAGAGTGGAGCTCAGTCTCCCCATACTGAGACCTGAGTGTGAGCTGAACTGGGTGACTCTGTGGACAGCGACTTCCCAGAATGAAGAAAGGAGAATGGTGACTCAGCAGAGTTAGGGAAGGGGAGGGTGACTCAGCAGAGTGAGGAAAGGGGGCAGTGACTTCACAGAGTGAGGGAAGGGGACAGTGACTTCACAGAGTGAGGGAAGGGGGCAGTGACTTCACAGAGGGAAGAGGAGGGTGACTTCACAGAGTGAGGGAAGGGGGCAGTGACTTCACAGAGTGAGGGAAGGGGACAGTGACTTCACAGAGTGAGGAAAGGGACAGTGACTTCACAGAGTGAGGGAAGGGGGCAGTGACTTCACAGAGTGAGGGAAGGGGGCAGTGACTTCACAGAGTGAGGGAAGAGGAGGGTGACTTCACAGAGTGAGGGAAGGGGACAGTGACTTCAAAGAGTGAGGGAAGAGGAGGGTGACTTCACAGAGTGAGGGAAGAGGAGGGTGACTTCAAAGAGTGAGGGAAGGGATGGTGACTCACAGAGTGAGGGAAGGGGACAGTGACTTCACAGAGTGAGGAAAGGGACAGTGACTTCACAGAGTGAGGGAAGGGGACAGTGACTTCACAGAGTGAGGGAAGGGGGCAGTGACTTCACAGAGTGAGGGAAGGGGGCAGTGACTTCACAGAGTGAGGGAAGAGGAGGGTGACTTCACAGAGTGAGGGAAGGGGACAGTGACTTCACAGAGGGAAGAGGAGGGTGACTTCACAGAGTGAGGGAAGGGGGCAGTGACTTCACAGAGTGAGGGAAGGGGACAGTGACTTCAAAGAGTGAGGGAAGAGGAGGGTGACTTCACAGAGTGAGGGAAGGGGGCAGTGACTTCACAGAGTGAGGGAAGAGGAGGGTGACTTCAAAGAGTGAGGGAAGGGGAGGGTGACTTCACAGAGTGAGGGAAGGGACAGTGACTTCAGAGTGAGGGAAGGGGAGGGTGACTCACAGAGAGAGGGAAGGGACAGTGACTTCACAGAGTGAGGGAAGGGACAGTGACTTCACAGAGTGAGGGAAGAGGACGGTGACTTCACAGAGTGAGGGAAGGGACGGTGACTTCACAGAGTGAGGGAAGGGACGGTGACTTCACAGAGTGAGGGAAGGGGACGGTGACTTCACAGAGTGAGGGAAGGGGACGGTGACTTCACAGAGTGAGGGAAGGGGACGGTGACTTCACAGAGTGAGGGAAGGGGACGGTGACTTCACAGAGTGAGGGAAGGGGACGGTGACTTCACAGAGTGAGGGAAGGGACGGTGACTTCACAGAGTGAGGGAAGGGGACGGTGACTTCACAGAGTGAGGGAAGGGACGGTGACTTCACAGAGTGAGGGAAGGGTAGCATGACTTCACAGAGTGAGGGAAGACTGAACAGGACAGAAGAGCCGGGGTGATGGATTTAGATGTGGGATCCTTGATTGGTCTCTGAGACATAAGAAGGACGTTAGTGAAAAAACAGATAAAATCCTCAAGTCTGCAGTTTGGGGCATGTGGAAATGTCAGTTTCTCAGGTTTGATAAAGGGACCCTGGTTACGTCAGTGTTAATATCAGGGAATCCTGGGGTATCAGCATAACCAGCTCTGTCCTATGATTTTTATTATTATTATTTTTTCAGAAGGAGTCTTGCTCTGTTGCCCAGGCTGGAGTGCAGTGTCACAATCTCGGCTCACTGCAAGCTCCGCCTCCCGAGTTCACGCCATTCTCCTACCTCAGCCTCCCGAGTAGCTGGGACTACAGGTGCCTGCCACCGCACCCGGCTGCTCTGTCCTATTATTTTTAACTCTTCCCTATACCTAAAATTATTTCAAAATGAAAAGATTTAGAAATGATGTAGAAGCAAACAGTAGTAGAACTGCTGCTGCGTCCTCACAGAACATCTGTATTTAATAAAGTCTAGTTTATGATTTGCTGGGGTACCTGAAAGACCCTAGCCAGGTGTCAGAGAGAGTTGGATTTGAATTCTTATTAAAATCATTCTTTGTAATGGAAATTTGGGCAAGTTATTTGACTTCTAAACTAAAATACCTCATATGTAAAGTAATTTTATTAAAGATTACTGTAAAGATTAAATGAGAAAAATATATAAAGCATTAAGTACATAAAAAGAATAGTTTCTTCTATCTCCTTATTTGTGTCTAAATGAAAACCAAAATATGCAGTTAATTATATGGGTATATTAGCCAAAAGAGATACGAAAACCTAGGTAGAAGAAAGGGACATTTAAATAATTTTAAAGCTATAATTTCTGATAAAGATCTATATCAAATACATCATTCCTTTTTCTTTCACTTGGTTTATTAAGTTCATCTAGGGTTTATCTACTCGAGTGAAGTAAAATAAAATATTCAATTAGTACAGTGAATACAGGTGACCAGCCAGATGATCCAAACGACAATCTGGTTTTTTCTCATTGGCTCCTTTTTCATACATAAAATTTTCCAAATAATTTGATTTTCTTATCAGTTTGACTTATGCAAATACAGACTTAACGTGGCTTACTTATGACTATATTGTATTTACAGTTGTTCCTAATGGCTTTCTAAGATCTCTTTTTCTGTGTTTATTATTAGGGCCAATTCTTGAAATCATTTACTTCTTTCCACACTGACAGAATCCTGCATGTCTTCAATTTTCAGTTACTAACTTTTGAGAGAGGTTTTTCTATGACATAGGAAACATAGTTGACTTTTGATTATTTTATTTTTGATTATTTTATGGTGGCTTGACCTGGTCTTCAATATCTTCCCTTTATATGTCTTATATTTTAAAATATAATAATAATCTCATTTGCATTTAATTAATTTTTTCTAATTTTTTTTGAATAAGTTTACGGCTGGGATTTCATGGCAAAAGGCTTAGCATATTTTGATCTTTTTTTTGTTTGTTTGTTTTTGAGACAGGGTCTCACTGTTGCCCTGCCTGGAGTGCAGTGGTGTGAACAGAGCAGGCTGTAGCTTTGACTTTCTGGACTCAGGTGATCCTCTCACCTCAGCCTCTCAAGTAGCTGGGACTAGAGGTGCGTGCCACCTTGCCTGGCTAATTTTTTTAATTGTTATTTTTTCGTAGAGACAGGGTTTCACCATGTTGCCCAGCCTGGTTCAAACTCCTGGGATCAAATAATCCCCTGCCTCGGTCTCCCAAAGTGCTGGAATCACAGGCACGAGCTACTGCACCAGGGCTATTTTAAGTGGAAATGAGATCCAAGTTAATTCCAAGTTTATTTCCAAGGTCAAGGATTGAAGGATGATACGTGGTAAATTCACGTGAGAGTTGGATATGGCCTTTGGAAGGAGCTCTCACATGCCCCAGGAATAACTGGACATGGAGTAGGGACAGAGTGGTGTCAGTGACAGGAGTGAGCCCCAGGGAGAGAATCCTTTTTGTTTTAAACCACAGAAGACACTTCAGTAAGAGAAGGTAGAAACAAGAAGCAAGTGGGGGATTGACGTGCTTGGATCCCACAAACGAGTTTAAAAGTATTAGAAGCAGGCTAGACACGGTGGCTCACCCTGTAATCCCAGCACTTTGGGAGGCCAAGGCGGGTGGATTACCTGAGGTCAGGAGTTCGAGGACAGCCTGGCCAACACGGAGAAACCCCATGTCTACTAATAAAACAAATAAAATAAAATAAACTGGGTGTGGTGGCGCGCATCTGTAATTCCAGCTACTCAGAGGCTGAGGCATGAGAATCGCTTGAGCCCAAGCGGTGGAGGTTGCAGTGAGCCGGGATTGTGCCATTGCACTCCAGCCTGGGTGACAGAGTGAAACTTGGTCTCAAAAAAAAGTATTAGAAGCAGATGCAAAATTCAGAATATGAAGCCAGGAGCCTGGAAAGCAAGAACGAGAGAGTTGATATGAAGTGGTGAGAGTCAGAAGCTGCTCAGGAGGACTGCTGTATTTCCCGGCAGCCTCTGCGTGGGCAGCAGCGGGGTAGGCGGCCGAGTCTCCCAGGCCACGGACCTGTATTTCCCGGCAGCCTCTGCGTGGGCAGCAGCGGGGTAGGCGGCCGAGTCTCCCAGGCCACGGACCTGTATTTCCCGGCAGCCTCTGCGTGGGCAGCAGCGGGGTAGGCGGCCGAGTCTCCCGGGCCAGGGACCTGTATTTCCCGGCAACCTCTGCGTGGGCAGCAGCGGGGTAGGCGGCCGAGTCTCCCGGGCCACGGACCTGTATTTCCCGGCAACCTCTGCGTGGGCAGCAGCGGGATAGGCGGCCGAGTCTCCCGGGCCACGGACCTGTATTTCCCGGCAGCCTCTGTGTGGGCAGCAGCGGCATAGGCGGCCGAGTCTCCCGGGCCACGGACCTGTATTTCCAGGCAGCCTCTGCAGTGGGCAGCAGCGGGGTAGGTGGCCGAGTCTCCCGGGCCACGGACCTGTATTTCCCTGCAGCCTCTGTGTGGGCAGCAGCGGGATAGGCGGCCGAGTCTCCCGGGCCACGGACCTGTATTTCCAGGCAGCCTCTGCAGTGGGCAGCAGCGGGGTAGGTGGCCGAGTCTCCCGGGCCACGGACCTGTATTTCCCGGCAGCCTCTGTGTGGGCAGCAGCGGGATAGGCGGCCGAGTCTCCCGGGCCACGGACCTGTATTTCCCGGCAGCCTCTGTGTGGGCAGCAGCGGGATAGGCGGCCCAGTCTCCCGGGCCACGGACCTGTATTTCCCTGCAGCCTCTGTGTGGGCAGCAGCGGGATAGGCGGCCGAGTCTCCCGGGCCACGGACCTGTATTTCCCGGCAGCCTCTGCAGTGGGCAGCAGCGGGATAGGCGGCCGAGTTTCCCAGGCCCCGGACGGGACAGATTGGATCGCACCTGTCACAGCCACGCTCTGGAATAGCGAGGGCCCAGCGTCCCCAGGCCCAGGGTGAGGAGAATCCCTGCCACACTGTGTCTGGAATTGGTGGGTTCTTGGTCTCACTGACTTCAAGAATGAAGCCGCGGACCCTCACGGTGAGTGTTACAGTTCTTAAAGGTGGCGCGTCCAGAGTTTGTTCCTTCTGATGTTCGGATGTATTCGGAGTTGCTTCCTTCTGGTGGGTTTGTGGTCTCACTGGATGAGGAGTGAAGCTGCGGGCCCTCGCAGCGAGTGTTACAGTTCTTAAGGCGGCGCGTCTGGAGCTGTTCGTTCCTCCCGGTGGGTTCGTGGTCTTGCTGGCTCAGGAGTGAAGCTGCAGACCTTCATGGTGTTACAGCTCTTAAAGTGGCATGTCTGGAGTTGCTCGTTCTTCCTGGTGGGTTCGTGGTCTTGCTGACTTCAGGAGTGAAGCTGCAGACCTTCGGGGTGAGTGTTACAGCTCTTAAGGCGGCGCGTCTGGAGTTGTTTGTTCCTCCCGGTGGGTTCGTGGTCTCTCTGGCTTCAGGAGTGAAGCTGCAGACCTTCGTGGTGTTACAGCTCATAAAGGCAGTGTAGACCCGAAGAGTGAGCAGCAGCAAGATTTATTGCAAAGAGTGAAAGAACAAAGCTTCCACAGTGTGGAAGGGGACCTGAGCTGGTTGCCATGGCTGGTTCGGGCAGCCTGCTTTTATTCTCTTACCTGGCCCCACCCACATCCTGCTGATTGGTCCATTTTACAGAGAGCTGATTGGTCTGTTTTGACAGGGTGCTGATTGGTGCGTTTACAATCCCTGAGTTAGACACAAAAGTTCTCCAGGTCCCCACTAGATTAGCTAGATACAGAGTGTCTGTTGGTGTATTTACAAACCCTGAGCTAGACACAGAGTGCTGATTGGTGCATTTACAAACCTTGAGCTAGATACAGAGTGCCGATTGGTGCATTCATAATCCCTTAGCTAGACATAAAGGTTCTCCAAGTCCCCATTAGACTCAGGAGCCCAGCTGGCTTCACCCAGTGGATCCCACACCTGGGCTGCAGGTGGAGCTGCCTGCCAGTCCCAGGCCGTGCGCCCGCACTCCTTAGCCCTTGGGCGGTTGATGGGACCGGGCGCCGTGGAGCAGTGGGCAGCGCTCGTCGGGGAGGCTGGGGCCGCGCAGGAGTGCACGGCAGGGGAGTTGGGGGGAGACTCAGGCATGGCAGGCTGCAGGTCCCCAGCCCTGCCCCACGGGGAGGCAGTCAAGGCCTGGAGAGAAATGGAGCCCAGCGCCAGTGGGCTAGCACTGCTGGGGGACCCGGCGCACCCTCTGCACCTGCTGGCCTGGGTGCTAAGCCCCTCACTGCCCTGGGCAGGCAGGGCCGGCCGGCCGGCCAGCCGCTCAGAGTGTGGGCCCGCCAAGCCCACGCCCACCCAGAACTCGAGCTGGCCCGCAAGCGCCACATGCAGCCCTGGTTACTGCCCATGCCTCTCCCTCCACACCTCCCGGCAAGCCGAGGGAGCCGGCTCCGGCCTCGGCCAGCCCAGAGAAGGGCTCCCACGGTGCGGCGGCGGGCTGAAGGGCTCCTCAAGCGCGGCCAGAATGGGTGCCAACACCGAAGAGGCACCGAGAGCGAGCGAGGGCTGCCAGCATGCTGTCACCTCTCAACACCAGGCAGTTGCTGAGGCGGGAGGGAAACTTCTATGCACGTTCTCTCAGGCTCTGTCCTTTCCAGGGCACAAAGCACCCGGAGTGGAGCGGGAGGTGGTTAAGCGAGAGAGTCCTGCAGCAACGTGGTCAGGCTTCTCTTTCCAGACTGTGGGGTCCAAGGAGCTGTCTGTGGAATTAGGGTGGGCTCAGGAGGCTTCAGGAAGCTGCGCAAAGAGGATCGGGTGCCCAAGGTGGAGTCACGGGAGTCAAAGATCTGTGGGGTCAATAGTGCCCTCGACCTTGTGTGGTTCCAAGGAGCAATCTTCTACATTACAACGCGGTCATTTAATATGTACTAAACTCAACACACAGCTGGCGGGCTGCCTGGTCAGAGATGACTTTTCCCGTGTCTGGCGGTGGGCTGTACATGAAGGGCACTGTCATTTCTCAGGGAAGGATGTTCTGATGAATCTCTTGGGCAGGCTGCGATTCCCCAGGTACCCCCGACTTCTGCAGTGGAAGTGGCGCTTGGTGATGCACATGACCTTTGGGGACAGAAATGTTGGTTGCTGACAAATGTCATGTTCTGGGTGGAAGAATGCAGTGAACGGATGTTGACCAACTTTCGGTGGTGACGTAGGTAGACCGGTCATGTTACTTGTTGGACAAGATGGAAGCTCCATCAGTCACGAGTTTGAGAGTGAGGTGATGCCGTTTGCATCTGGGTGTGGGGAGACATCACCAGTGTCCTACTGAACTAAGACTTTAATTTTCTCTAATTGGAACTCAGGAGGCTGTATTGGGTGAGATAGAGAAGAACTTCCTTTCTGGAGAAGGTGGTGGTGGTATGGAGATGGGGACTGATGCAGGGAAGAGAGTTTGCCTGTTGATGTGAAATTCAATCCCTCAGGGCTGATGGGTGTGGACACGGGTGTGGACACGGGAGGGGTGAGTGCTGTGCATAGCAGACTCTCAACGTCCGGAGCACTAGCTGGCTGAGGACCACACGGTCCGCTGCAGTAGAAAGCTGTCTCTCTGCTCTAAAGATGAGCGCTGACATGGCAGGGCGGGGCCACACCTACAGATTATCAAGACCTCAGGAGTTCGGGTTTTTAAAAGTGGAAATTCCCCCAATTAAAAAAAATGGCATATATTTCAATTAAAATACTGCATGGGCCAAAGAAAACACAACGGCCAGCCAGACCTGGTTCCTGTGCCACTGCTTTGCTGTCTGTGATGGTGAATATTCAGCGTCAAGTTGATTGGATTGAAGGATGCAAAGTATTGATTCTGGGTGTGTCTGTGGGGGTGTTGCCAAAAGAGATTAACATTTAAGTCAGTGGGCTGGGAAAGGCAGACCCACCCTCAGTCTGGGTGGGCACCATCTAATCAGCTGCCAGCATGGCTAGGATAAAAGCAGGCAGAGGAATGTGGAAGGACTGGACAGGCTGAGTCTTCCGGCCTCCATCTTTCTTCCGTGCTGGATGCTTCCTCCCCTTGAACACTGGACTCCAAGTTCTTCAGCTTTGGGCTCTTGAACTTACACCAGTGGTTTGCCAGGGGCTGTTGGGCCTTCAGCAACAGACTGAAGGCTGCACTATCGGCTTCCCTACTTTAGAGGTCTTGGGACTCAAACTGGCTTCCTTACTCCTCAGCTTGCAGACGGCCTATTGTGGGACTTCACCTTGTGATCATGTGAGTCAATACTCCTTAATAAACTCCCTTCATATATACATCTATCCTATGAGTCCTGTCCCTCTAGAGAGTACTAATACACTGTCTCTGGGTGGAATCATCCAGTGATGTGGGCAACCCCATAGCTCTCAAGGTGCTGAGGTGGGCAGAGGCAGGAGCAGCACTGGGGACAGCTGTGGGCAGGAGCTTGGGGCTGTGTTCCATGGCTCTGCAGGCCTCTAGTGCCTGCCTGTGGCCTAGTGCTGGCATCATTAGAACTCAGGCACCCGTAGGTTGAATGAAGAATAGGCAACCACCAGAATTTGTCTGTAATGACCACCAGAGCTGGGAGGAGCCAAGCTTTCTCATGTCAGGAGATGAAGCCATGCACTGTGTTAGGGAGCTGAGGTTTGGATATTCACCCCTCCCAAATTCACGCAAAATTCCCAACACGGCAGTATTGAGAGGTGGGCCTTTAAGAGGTGATTGGATTATGAGGTGTCTGTCTTGAAGAATGGATTAATGCCTTCAAGGGTTAATGGATTAATCCTCTCATGGATTAGTGGGTAATCACAGGAGAGGGGCTGTGTCTCTACAGGAAGAGGAGAGAGCTGGGCCAGCATGCTCAGCACCTCACCATGAGATGACCCCTCAGGACTCTGTGGAGAGCCCCCACCAGTAAGAGGGCCTTTGCCAGATGCGGCCACTTGACCCTGAACTTCACGGCCTTCGGGATTGGGAGAAATAAATTCATTTAAAAAAAAAATTACCCAGTTTCAGGTATTTTGTTATATGCAACAGATAACCAAACTGAGACATAGGATGTGTCCAGAGCTGAGTTGATACACTGGCTCAGAAGCATTTTTGAAAGTTCTGAGTGGCAGCATTTGCCAGTCTCCATGGTGTAAACGTGCCCACCATCGCTAACTCAGGCTGCCAGCGCGACGGCAGAGAGTGGTGCTGGGAGGGGGTGCCACGCTGACCTCCCGGGAGCCCCTGTGAGCCGCTTCTACCAGTGCCCGGATGTGTTTGTTGGGATTCTGCGCCCTTTGAGTGTCTCGGGGCTCTCCTCGAGGTGCTGCCGGGCACTGCCGGGGCATGATTTCTTCGCAGGAACTAGGGGAGCAAGAGCAGGAGCGAGCTGCCTGTGAATAAAAAAAAGGAGGCCAGGTGCGGTGGCTCACGCCTGTAATCCCAGCACTTTGGGAGGCCGAGGCGGGCGGATCACCTGACGTCAGGAATTCGTAGACCAGCCTGGCCAACAGGGTGAAACCCCATCTCTACTAAAAACACAAAAAATTAGCCAGGCGTGGTGGCGCGCGCCTGTAATTCCAGCTACTCCTGAGGCTGAGGCAGGAGAATGGCTTGAACCCAGGAGGCGGAGCTTGTAGTGAGCCAAGATCGCGCCACTGCACTCCAGCCTGGGTGACAGAGCAAGACTGTCTCAAAAAAAAAAAAAAAAAAGAGGAAAATGAAGAAAGGAGAATCCAGGCAAATATCTGAAAGACTCATAATTTTTTTACACTGTCCTTCCCAAATCCATGCCCACCTGGGACCTCGGAGTGTGACCTTGTTTGGAAACAGGGTCTTTGTCGATCCCATTAGTTAAATTAAGATGAGGTCACACTGGATTAGGGTGGCTCTTAATCCAATGCTGGGTATCCTTGTGAGAATGTCACATCTTAAAGGGAACAAATTCTCTACTCTAAAAAACAAAGTTGAGAAAAAAGGCTTTAAGAGCCCTTATAGAAGGCTACTGTAACTTGTACATATTATTAGCATCTTTGTGGAAAATTACTTTGGAGATCATGTGTGCTATATTTATACACCTCATTAGTAATATTTAAAATCTACTCAAACTCTTTTACTTTGTGCCCCTCTACATTCCTTACAAATAGTTTCCCTGTTGTTCTTCCCACTTGAGTCTGGGCCAGTGAGCTTTGCGTCTCCTTTATGGTGTAGACACATCATTTTCATGTGATGAAATTCATTATGATTCATTAAATTTGATCATAAAAAGAGCTTGGTATCCCCCTGGGGCAAGTTCATTAAAAGAATCTCTTTGGTTCCATTATGAATCATTTTCCCTTATCCAAAGGCAGCTCCGAAGATTTACCGCGGGCAGGAGGCCCCGCAAGACAGATTCAGGAATCCAGCAGCCAAAAACTGAAGCCGGCACTGAAATTTCTGAATAAAAATATCCCAGTGGGAGAGGGAGGGCCATGTGGCTGTCTAGTGGCGCTCTGTGCTTGGTGCCAACTGCATCTCTGAGGACTGACTGGCACAGAAGGTAATTATATCATTGCACGTTGTGCAGGGAAGCGCTTGGTGGAGAATCTGTGTGAGCTGCTCATGGTGGATCTTCCCGGTAGGTCAGAGGAAATCTGTTCCATTATCCATTGAAAGATTTTACATGCATAGCTTCTGAAAGCCACGGCTTGGAAGATAAACATTGAGACCTAAGACATTGCCTTTATATCCCCTTTTGCTTCCACAATTAGAGTGTCTCCATAGGAGTAGGAGCTTCCATTCCCTTGGCCTCTCCGGGCAGCTTAACTGAGGTGGGACATCCTGGCTATCGGCAGGTGACTTGAGTAGCGATGGCAATCATGACAATACTATTCACCTAAAAGCCACATGCAAACATAACAGGAAGAGAGGGTTGGCTTGCAGAATACATTTCATAAGAGGGTTTCTTGGTGTCATTTGAATGCCTTTTCTGCAACCTGTCTCCACTCAAAAAATATCTGTAGTGCTGACCATATTTTAACACTTAGTGAAGAATGTGCCACTTGCTTCTTGCAAGAGAGTCACAGCTCTGAATCAGAAGGTTATTATTCATTCGATTTTGTAGCTCGGGGCTGCCAGCAGGATGGGACCGTGCTGCCAGGGGTCGTCATATGGCTAGGGAAGGAGGGTGGGAGATGCTGTGACAGCCCTACAGCTGAGAAGGCAGCGCCAGGCCCCAGGGTGTAAGCCTGAGACCGCCTCCAAGAAGAGCCAAAGAAGGGGCTGGAAAGAACAACTAACTGGAAATAGAAAGGAGGTGTGTGTGTGCCTCAGCAGCTGCTCTCTGGAGAATCTCATCTCATCTCCTGCTCCTGGGATCCAGCTAAATCTGCAGGTGGGCTTTGGGGCCCCTGCACATGCTCTACAAACCCTACATTTACACACACGCACACATTTATTTATTTATCAATTTTTATTTTAATTTTTCTGAGACAGGTTCTCACTCTGTCACCCAGGCTGAAGTGCAGGGTGCAATCACAGCTCACTGCAGCTTCAACCTCCCAGACTCAAGGGATCCTGCCACCTCAGCCTCCAGAGTAACTGGGACTATGAGCATGTGCCATCACGCCCGCCTAATTTATTTTTATTTTTTAATTTTTTTTTTAAGAAATGGAGTCTCCCTATGTTACCCAGGTTGGTCTTCAACTCCTGGGCTCAAGAGACACTCCTGCCTCAACCTCCCAAAGTGCTGGCATTATAGGCATGAGCCACCTTGCCTGGACCTGATATATGTGTTTTAAATAAACGTATTTGTTTCTTAACATTTTTAATCATTAAAAAACTTTAAGATTGCAAAATGAGAGGGGTTGGGGAAGAAGAGGAATAATTATCTTCGGTCCAATTAACTTTGATAGATGCTGTCACTATCATTCATTTGGCTGTTTGCATCTACTGCTTTTTAATGTGATTAAAAAATGTACTTTGTATTTTGAAACTGTAGCTACATGGGAGGAATAAGTTCTAGTGTTCTATAACACTGTAGGGTGAACATGGTCAACAATAATGTATATTTCTGAGAAACTAGAAAAGAAGATTTTGAATGTTATCACAAAGAAATGGTAAATGTTTTAGGTGATAAATATGCTAATTACCCTGGTTTGATCGTTATGCATTGTATGTTGCTCTGTAACCCATTAATACGCATCCTTATATATGTCAACTAAAACTAAAAAGAAAAAATACTTTGTATTTTGGAATAATTACAGAGTAACAGGAAGTTGTAAAAATAATTCATAGAGCCCCTTCACCCACCTCCCCCATGATGTCATCTTCTGTCACAAGGTCAAAGTTCAAGGTCAAAGTACAAGCTCAAAGCCAGGATGTGGATATTGGTACATAAATGTTAGCTGGATCACACAGACCTAATTCAGCGCTTACCAGTTTTTACATGCATTCGACCGCGTGTGTGTGTGTGTGTGTGTGTGTGTAATGTCTGGCAGTCTTATCCCATGCTGGATTCCCATAACCACCATCACAACCAAAATGCACACCTGTTCCAGCCCTACTAGAAACCCCTTGAGCTGTCCTTTCATATCTGCCTTCCAAGCCCCAGTCCCTGTCCCTGGGCAACTACAAATCTGTTCTCCATCTCTACTGTCATTTTGAGAATGTTTATAAATGGAATCACACAATATGGAACCTTCTGAGGTTGACATTTTTCACCAGGCCTGATGCCCTGGAGATCCATCTGGGTTGCAGCGTGGGTCACGAGTCTGTTCCTCTTTATTGCTAAAATAGCAGTTTGCTCTGTGGATGAACCATGGTTTGTAGAACCTTTCACTCACTGCAGGAAATTCATGTTGTTCCAGTTTTTTTTTGCTGTTACAAAGAAAGCTGCCTTAAGTATTCATGCACAGCTTTTCTGTGTGGGTTAGTTTTAATTTTCTGGCATCAATGCCCTGGAATACCCTTGCTGGGTTACATGGCAGGCACATGCCTGGAGTTGCAAGCAACTGCCAACCTGTTTTCCAGAATAGCTGCGCCATTTTCATTCCCAGCAGCCATGCATGAGTGATTTCATTTCTCCACATCCTCACAAGCACTGGGTGTTATGACCATCGTTTATTTTACATGTCCTGATAGGAGTGTCATGCTACTGCATTGTGCTTTTTAGTCACACACCGCAGTGGCTGATGCTGTTGGACATCTTTCCATGGGGCTATTCACCATCTGTGTCTCCCTTTCAGTGAAATGTTCCCTAAGTGGGTTGCTTGTTTTTTTAATGTTGAGATTTGTGAGTTCTTTTTAGATTCTAGATACAACGTCTTTGTCAGATATGAGGTCTGCAAATGATATCTTCCAATCTGTAGCTTGTCTTTTCATCCTGTTAACAGGGAATTTTAGAGCACAGAATTTTACATTTTGATGAAGCCTACTATCTTCTTTTTTCTTTTGGTTCATGTGTTTGGCGTCATGTCTCTGAACTCTTTGCCTGGACTTAGTTCCTGAAGATTGCCTTCTATTTTTTCTTCTAAAAGTTTTGCAGTTTTTATTTTATATTTATATTTGTAATCTATTTTTAAATAATGTTTTTACAGTATAACTTTCAGTCCAAGTTTTGTTTTTTGTTGTTGTTGTTGTTTTTTGCTTTTATCTTATATATGTAATAGCTCCAGCACCATTTAAAACATTTGTGTTAAAAGACACATACTATAAAATTTACCATGTCAAGCATTTTTTAACTGTGCAGTTCAGGGGCATTAATTACATTCACACTGTTGTGCAACCAGCACCACCATCCACCTCCAGAACTTTTTCATCTTTCCAAACTGAAGCTTGGTACCCATTAAACAATAATTCCCAATTTCCCATCCCCCCATTCTTTGGTAACCACATTTCTACTTTCTGTTGCTATGAATTTAACAAATCTAGATGCCTCATAGGAATAGAATCGTGTCATATTGTTCCTTTTGTGACTGGTTTATTTCATTTAGCGTAATGTCCTCAAGATTCACCCATGTTGTATAATGTGTCAGAATTTATTTCATTTTTAAGGCTGAATAGTATTTCCTTGTACATGTAGACCACATTTTGTTTATGCCAAAAAAAAACTGAAAGCAGGACCTTGAAGAGGTGTTTGCATACCCATGTTCATGGCAGTGTCATTCACAGTAGCCAAGAGGTGAAAGCCATCCCAATGTCTGCTATCACTTTTTATTTTTGGAAAAACTATTCTCCCTCCACTAAATTGCTTTTGCTCTTTTGACAAAAATCCATTTGGTATATTTGTGTTGTTCTATTTCTGGGGTTTCTGCTCTGTTCCCTTGGGCCATGTGTCTGTCCCTCCACCCATATCATAGTCTTGATTGTGGCCACTGCAGAATAAGTCTTGAGGTCAAGCAAAATGCGTCCTTCCATTTTTTTTCCCCAAAATTATTTGAATTGTTCCAGTTTTTTCATCTTTCCATGTAAACTTTGCTATAAACTCGTCATTGTCTACCAAGCCTTGTGCTGGGATTTTTATAAGAATTGAGGGGATCAATCTGGGGAGAAATGGCATCTTTCCCACATTAAACCTTCCAATCCTTGAACACAGCATGGGTTTTTTAATTCATTTAGATATTCTTTGACTTATAATAATGCGCTTTCTAAGATTATACACAGCTTTTTGTCTGTTTGTTTTTGTAAAGATAGGCTGAAATTCAGGAAATCCTCAGCAAGAGACAAAAAAAAAATGAAATTGTGTCAGTGATGTGTTGATGGCAGCTCATACACACTCACGAGGGCCAACTATGTGTATCTCCTCCCCGCCTTGAGTTCAGTGATGGCACCTTGGTAGGGGGAACTGGCAATAGTGGACAAATGGTGGACAAATGCCAAAGCCCACCATACAAGTGGACAAATTCCATGAAGCAGGCTGTCTTCCTTCCTTCTTGCCCTTCCCCTTCCCCTCCCCTCCCTTCCCCTCCCCTCCCTCCCTCCCTCCCTCCCTCCCTTCCTTCCTTCCTTCCTTCCTGCTTTCCTTCCTTCCATCCGTCTCTCACCCTTCTGTCTCCCTTCCCCTCTCTTTCTTTGAAGGGGGTTGTTAAACACCCACCTGCATACCCCTGACTATATCTAATTCATGGCTCTACTATGAAGAAGAGTGAGCCCATGGTGAGGGGCAGCATGAAGAGAGGTTGATTCATGGGCATAAATATATGCAGCTAAGGAAGGGCTAACACCTAGTGCTCCCTAGATCAGTAGGGTGACTATAGTTTACAATCATCTATTGTACATTTCAAAATTGTTAGAAGGTAATCATTTAAATGCTTCTAACATAAATAAAAGACAAACATTTAGGCTGCTGGATATTAATTACACTGATTTGATCTTTCCATGTGATATGAATGTATGTGCCCTGAAAATATGTGCATCTCTTATGTATCAATATAAACAATTAGCAAACAATAAATAAGAACAATCCCTTGTGTCTATGCCCTGGTTGTTTCTGGAGCTGGTGTTCCCGCTGTCAACACCCGTCTTCCTGGTCATCACATTTGCTTTCTTATCTAGCACTGAACGATGGATCTACCCATTTGTCAGAATAAAAATGTGGCTTGGAGTGCAAAAGAGGGAAAAATAAAATAAAAGTTCCAAACCAACCAACCAAACAAAAAACAAGGAATGTGTAAGAGACTGAATTTAGGCATATCCCTTTGGTGGAAAATCATGTGAGATTCACATGATGGATTAATTTAAATCAAATAGTCTGCCTAGCATTTAGCCAGTATTAAGTTGGGATTTCTTGTATTTGCCTTATATTTGCATTGCAAGTGGCAATTTGTTAAAAAAGAAAAAATAAAACAACGATTACAATTTGAAAAAAGACAAATCAGTTTCTAGTAAAGCTGTAGCCATGATTACCCATCCTCTCCCTCTTCAAATACAACCTTAACCATAGCCCTACAGATGGCCAGATGTGATCCTGTTGGCTAAAATGAGATCTTCGTATATTAACCTCTGTTGAGCTCTGTGGTCATTTAGGCTGCACATTTTTATTCCAGTGGGGAGTCTGGCAATGGAGAAAGGCTCACTGGAAAGCCTCCCTTGTTCAGGGAGAGAAGTTAAGCCACTCTCCTGGCTCCCTGGGCTGGAGCATGTGGGCCTGACAGGACTCACTAGGCCAGGTACCCCATGATTTGGGATCAGACCACCTGCATTTGAACCCAGGCTCTGATGCTCGCCCAGTCTTTGACCTCAATAAGTCTCTCTATTCTGTTTTATTAAGCTACTTTTTAGTATTATGACAATGATGCTATTATTCCAAAGTAGGTTGACAGTTTTTAAGACATTGGAAAAGACCAATAGAATACCCTGAACCCTTCCTTCAAGCATTCAGAGATAGCAACTCTTCATGTTTGAGTGTAAAACTTCCAGTCTTCTCTTTCTATGCCAGGATATAATTATTTAACTGCATTGTTTTCTCCTTTATTGCTGTTTTCCCCAGAAATATGAGCTTATATTTTTCAGTTAACTTCCTGTTGTGAATATTTTTATTTGTCATAAAATCATGTTTCTGTGAACCCTGGGAGATTCAGTAATAGTTGCAAATATGTGAAGTGATAGGCAAAAAACAATGAACACCTACTATCCATATTTCTGAGAATAAAATAACAAGAGCTGAGTTAAAACGTAATAGAAAAGGTGACCACAAGATTTTGGTAAATAATTCACTGAGGAGGCTGGGATTATGTTTAACACACAATAGGTATCTGGATTAAAATCCTTAAAAGCGAGAGCATACTAAACAGCTTCTGAGGAACTAGGAGGGTGCGGAATCTTTGGAAGTGTTTGTTAGGAGAGATAATTGATGATGACGGAAACCAGTCTGTCTCGGAGATTCCAATACAATTCTGCCTGGAGCGGGAGAGAGAACTAGGTGATCATTCAAGGCCTCCACCAAATCTGTGATTCTGTGATTTGTCTGAATAATCGATGATGTGAATTGCAGTTATTCCCTCCTCCAGGGCAGACAGTATGCATAAAGGCAGTTGTAAAGAAAACGGTGCTGCGGCTGCCCCAGTGAGTCATTTAGATGCTGGGCTGTTTCTGCTTGCTCTGCTGTGAGGTCAGTTTCATGTGCTTAAGCAACTTTGCTTCAGGTCACACCCTACGGGACACCCACGGCAGCCTGCCGCCTACTAATCATAGAGCCCTTCGTGTTCCTTTTTTGTCTTTTTCTTAACCAACAATGGGTCATTTAGCAGGACATTTATTTCAGTCCTAAGTTGTATTATCCCTGGTAATTTGCATATACCATTATTAAAGTGTGGCAGTCTTTTGTAATTATTGTCTTAATCTAGTGAAAAATAATATATCTGTATATCTGGAGAGAAGGCTGTTCTCTGGATGCAGCTGAGCACTTGCATGCACTCGATGAACGGGAATAGGACTGCATGAGGCTGACCTGGATTTGACAACCGCACCAGGACAAGGCCGCGTGCTGCCCTGAACAGTGGCCCTTGTGCTAAATACGAATCCTCTCTCTCCCACAGGCATAGCCCGTCACCTGCGTCTGGTTTTTGCTCCTCATTTTCTTCAATTTTCACTCTATTTATAGTTGAGAACCTTCCATTTCCCCCTGGTTGAAATACATTAGTTGCTATGGAAACTGCGATCCCCCCGGTGTGGATGGAGCTGAATGACACCTACAATTGCAGAGCACGGTTGGCGTTGCCAGGGCTGGGAAATGGGCGTCGTGGCTGGAGAGGGCACTGAAGGGCACAGATGAGAATAATGACAGCACACAGCACGACCGTCAGGAACCGACGCAGCACCACTGGGTCAGAAGTTGTGGAAGAAGCCATGGGTAACAGAAGCCCCCCATGCCCTACACCACACAGAGGGGCGGGTCCCATCAGAGGCCTAACCCCTGGAGGGCTCTCATTTTCAAAACATAAAAAATGGAGCTATAGCTGGTACTTGCAAAAAAAAAAAAAAAAAGATGCATTTTCATTTTGATAAATACTAGAATCATTCTATTTCGAATGAGTATTTTTGCCCTTCTGTATGGGGTATGATGTCCCTCTTCCCACGTATTTGAGCTCTTCATGACGTAAGAGAGAGTTTAGCACGCAGCTCTGAACTTCCCTCTTGCCTGCTCTTTCTTGGGAAACCGGGCTAGTCGGGAGAATGAACGGTCTGTGTGAGAGTGTCACCGAATTCAACGGGAAGCCAGCAGGTCTCCCTCTCCAGCGCGGCCCAGCAGGCCTCTCCCGACCCTTCAGCGCCAGCTCTCCGGTTTTCTCCAGGTTAGGTCCCTTCTGGAGCCGGCGTCGACCTTCTTTTTGCGTCCTAACCCAGCTCCTCCATCCCATGGTATCGTTTTCTGGTCTCAGTTCTTCTCCTTCACAGGTGGGTCCCGCAATCTTAACGCGGCGGGACAGCAAAACATGGACAAACCCTATCCAGCTGGCTCCCGCCTGGAAGCTACAGCTACGCCAAGGGAAGCCCTTCTTTTCTTTTCTTTTATTTCATTTTTTATTTTTTATTTTTATTTTTATTATTGAGAAGGAGTCTGGCTCTGTCGCCCAGGCTGGAATGCAGTGGCGCGATCTCGGCTCACTGCAAGCTCCCAGGTTCACGCCATTCTCCTGCCTCAGCCTCCTGAGTAGCTGGGACTACAGGTGCCGCCACCCCGCCCGGCTAAGGGAAGCCCTTCTTAGATGACCTCAATCCCCATACATTCCTTCTCCCTGGAGACGTCATTTCCACGTTCCAGCGCAGATAATCGCTCATGCACCATTTGTTCCTGTAAATTTAGCAATGCACAATCAACGCTCTCACTCACTGGTTTTCTCTTTCCTGTGGCGTTGGCTTTATAGACTATTTTTAGTCCTATTTCATATACACCTTGTCCCTCGGTATTTAGCACCGCCTCATGAAACCCTCCTACCCTTGACTCCTCCCTTGTCCTGTCTCAGATCTTGAGTCTACAATCTTCCTTCAGGAAGGCAGGCAAAGATGTGTGTTTTTAAATTCTTAATATGTCTCTACGTCCAAAAGAGACATTCGTTTCTGTTGATTCATTGGAGAGAGTTTCTTCTGGAATACCGGAAGCGCAGCACCCACCAGCTGTGCTGCTTAAGGTGAAGGGAGGCAGTAGAGGGGGCTGTGGGGAGACCCGGAACTTTACTCAGCACTTTCTCGGTGCAGAGAAGCATACAGTGCGCTTTACACACAATGACCCATTTAATGTTTGCAGCCAGGCTCTAAGAGAGGGGACTATTTTTGTTCCTATCCATAAATGGGGAAAAAGACCTGAGGGTTTTCCAGGAGCCAAGGGGAAGCTCCCCTTCTGAGCTCTAAAGGTTCACTGAAAATGAACTAACAATAGGCAGATTAACAGGAGGAAGAGCATACAAGTTTACTTAATGTGCCTAAGCACAGAGGAATCCCAGGAGAATGATTACCCAATAATCCAGCCAGGTCTACACACTTCTATACTCTTGGGATACAGTATAGGGGAAGAGAAGATGGGGGAAACTGTGATAATTTTTGAGGGGTCGTAAGCAGTTTTTAGAAGGAATGGCTGGACCCAGTGCTCAGACACTGGAGGATTCTCTTTGGAGACTGAATGGGCCCAGATGATGAACAATGGTTTGGAAGAAAGTTGAGCTGAGCTCCAGGTGTGGTGCTTAATTTTCAGTCTCTTCCTCTGTCGCATGAGAGTTAATCTTCTCTGGTTAATTAAATTTCTGGGAAAGGACTGAAGGCAATTGTGTTCCCCTTTGGGGGTCTAGTATCTAGGTAGATAAGGAAGCTTCAGAGAACGGCCTCGTCCTGTGCATAGGGAGAGACAGGCCTGAGAGGCAGGAGCTGGTGGGAGGGCAGAGAGACCCACGTCAAAGCACCGGGTTTGGGCTTCGTTCTCGTGGTCTGAGCACCAGGTTTGGGCTTTGTTCTCTGAGCCCCAGTCATTGTTTAACTCCTGCAAGGTGGGTGGCTGGGTCCGTCTGTCTGACTCCCACACTCATCTCTCCATGCCTGCCTGGCGTTCAGCTTCTTCCCGGAAGCTGCAGTCAGGTGGCTTCATCCACTTCTCCGCAGACACAAGAGGCTCCAGCTCCACACCTTTCCAGCGTCTCCCTCCTTCCCTAACAGGTCTTAGTCTGTTTTAATTTTGGCCTCTGTTTATTTCCTGAAATCTGGAAGTTAATTCCTAAGTTGACAGTGAGAAAACTCTGGTAAAAAGCAGCCCCAGGCAGCATCATTTCATTCTCGGCCATGGTTTCCCCGTTTTTTTTTTTTTTTTTTAAGATGGAGTTTCACTCTGTTGCTTAGGCTGGCATGCAGTGGCACGATCTCAGCTCACTGTAATCTCCGCCTCCTGAGTTCAAGTGATTCTGGTGCCTCAGCTTCCTGAGTAGCTGGCATTACAGATGTGAGCTACCACATCTGGTTACTTTTTGTAATTTTAGTAGACATGGGGTTTCACCATGTTGGCCAGGCTGGTCTCGAACTTCTGACCTCAAGTCATCCACCCACCTCGGCCTCCCAAAGTGCTGGGATTACAGGTGTGAGCCACTGTGCCCAGCCTCCCCTCTCTCTTCTAACTTCTTGCTTTATAGAGATCTTGTCAAGATAACAGGGTACTCTTTCAACATATATAAGAAAGAACGTTATATATATCTAATAAGTGAGAAAAATTCAGCCACAAAACCCGTACGTTCATGACTTGGCCATCCTGAATGAGGTGTTCTGCCATGTGGTTATCATTTTAGGTAGTGCCTGTCATTGGAGCAACTACATTACTAGCGGACAGTCCTGGAGATAAAAATAAAAAATACAAACCCTTACTTTGGTCAGTAGGGAAACGGCACATGGCGTGTCTGTCAGTCTGAATGAGAAGGCCTTCAGAGCAGACCTGAGATTCTGTCACTGAAGTGGGTGTGTACTGTGTCTTGGTACAAACACCAGCTCCGGTGGAGACGTAATGTGCGGCAATGTGGTTAAGAACAAGACTTATTATACAGTTTAATTTTGTAAGGAAGAGGGTAGACCTACATTGCTCTCTGGATAAAGGATAGACTTAGGCACTGATCAGAAACGGTCTCTGTTTACCAAAATTCCTTCTTTGCACACAGAGCTGTGTAGTGAAAATGCCCGTCCTACACAAATAATGTGTTATAGCAAAATGAGCCAGTTAACATGTCAGCTCAAATCAACCTAATTTGGGTTAAAAATTCTTCCTTTTCTGTTTTTTTTTCTTTTCCCCCCTCCCCCTCCTCAATTCTTCCTTTTCTAAAAGGATCTTGTTACTTCATAAAAATCAAATTGGCCCCACGTTAATTTATTTGGCCATCAGAACATGGAGACTTTTGCCAACATAGCTATAGAACCTCTGTTTTTGTTTGATTTTATGACAGGGATGGGGTCTCACTGTGATTACAGGTGTGAGCTGCCATGCCCAACCAAAATCTCTTCATAGATGCGAAGTTTGGGAAGCTGTGCCAGGTCCCAGATTCACCTCCAGTGTGACTCCGGGGTCGGGAGTAGGTCCCTTGAGAGCCCCAGTCACTGGACTTCACAGGCAGCTAAAATGCAGGAAGAGGTTGGGAAGTCAGGGCCACTGATCTGCTTCAGTAAAAAAAAAAAAAAAAATCAGAATTCTTAAGCTTACCACCACTTTTTGATAAGCAAAGGCAGAAAATGTTAATGAATAATTAAAAGGAATGCTTATCAGAGATCTTCCCAGCTTAGAAAATGGAAAGAATTATGCACGTAACAAAGCTGCATGTATTTTAACAAGGGCAGTAGAAACACAAGAACAGATGCATGCTAAGTCGGAAGAAGGACGATTCTAGAATTGTGCAAGACAGGCCTGCACTGCTGGGGACCCAGATTTGAGGAGGGCGGTCCCGGGGACCACACAGTCTTTGCAGATGCCTGGACCGAGGTCGACTCTGCATCTTATCTTCCCTAGGGGGGCCGCGGTGCCAGTCCTTAATTTGCTCATTGATAAAACATTTTCTAAGGTTAGTTCCTATATTATTTTAAAAAGTGACAGGACAGGGAATTGAGGCTAAGACAGTTGCTCCTCAATCAGCTTTTCTCGACAGCACAGCTGAGTGAGATAAAACACAGGGTTTGGACCTAAGATGAACTGGGTCTAAGTCCCCTGAACTATCGCTGAGGGGCTATCAGCTGCTCATGGAGGGAGTCAGTGACTCCCTCTCCTGGGTTTTGTGTCTCACAGGTGTCTGTGTGTGTGCTGGGGGCCGTCTCAATAATGTCTACTTCACTGGCATCGTGTAGAGATTAAACCCACTTACAAGGAAGTCCTAGCAGAGTCAATCGTTGACAGTAAGTGCTCAGTAAACCAGAGCTGTTTTCATTATCATTCTAATTTCCATAGCTCAGGAACATAAAGGAATAACACTGAATTCTAAGGACAAAGGTGTGGAGCCAGTGTAGAAAAATCACTGGGCCACCAAAGAAGCCCTAAATAATCATTTATTTCCAAGGACACTGGAGATAAAATACTCCAGAGTCTCTCAAACTTTTCCACCGCTGAGCAGGAGGCAGCGTGGAGCACAGCCGGCTTCAGGCAGGGACCTGGCCTCGGTACAGGGTCCTGGGCTTGGAGTCATGTTCCGCTTCCCGTATCTAATGCTTTTTGAACAAGGAGCTCCTGTCTTCACTTTGCTTTAAGCGCTCCGGATTACGTGGGCTGTACTTGCAGGGGAGAACATTGTGCTGACTCGGGATGAGACTGTGGCTTCTGGGACTCCCTGGCCCCTGGAATCTGGTTTTGAGAAGCATGGGCTCTAGCTTAGGGTGGCAGAGTTAGCAAATGAAAATACAGACGTTGCACAGCACGCACTTCTGCTGAAGTCACCATCCACCCTTCATCTGAAATTCAAATTCAGATGGGCATCACGCCTTTTCAGATAAAGAAACTAAGGCACTCAGGTGGCCGACTTGGTCAAAGCCCTGTGACCAGTAAGAGAAGGGACCACATTTGAATCTGGCTGTGCCGCCAAGACACCAGCTTTTTAATCTCAGTGACTGATAAGAGACTTTGCAAAGATGTCGGAGTTGGATAAAAGCTGACCCGGAAGCAGTAGCAGCCCCAGCCAGGTCATAAGTCCTGCAGGCCTCTGCTAGGGCCGACTTAACGATCCCCAATGAACTAAAGAGATAGGTGACACCTTTCGGTTATAATTGCTCCAGTTGGCTTTGTGAAGATGTCCTTGTATTTTGGAAGAAAACATATCCATGTTCAGGAAGAGTCATTCTCAGAATGATTTACTCAAGCAGAGCTTAGGTGGGGATTACTGAATGTAGCAGAAAGTGGAAGTAAATTCCTTTCGAAATACCTCAGGATCAGGAAAATTCAAACAAAGCATTTGGTTTGCCTTTTTGCTTCTGAGGCTGAAAACTGTGTATGTTTAAAATGAAAGGTAATCCATAAATTCCAGAGTCATTTGAACTTAACTCATCAATATGTTAGTTTGTCAGTGGATGTCCAAGTAAATATTTAGAGCAGCGGTGTCCAATCTTCTGGCTTCCCTGGGCCACACTGGAAGCAGAAGAATTGTCTCGGGCCACACATAAAATATGCAAACATTAACAATAGTTGATAACGCTAAAAAAAATTGCAAAGAATCTTATAATATTTTAAGAAAGTGTACCAATTTTTGCTGGTACACTTTCAAAACCATCCTGGCTTATATACAGCCCACAGGCTGCGGGTTGGACACACTTGGCTTAGAGCTTTTTGGCTAAAAACATACACACACATTTTTAAAAGATTGATTTTATGGTACCATTTTAAAAAAATTTCTGAGAGAACTACATACACATCTTTCCTTTGCGTCTTTCTGCTGAAGTGTTCAGGTGTGAGCCCACAAAAGTGCTGCTTTGAGGCCCCAGGTCTTCCAGGGTAGCCTTGAAGACAGGACACCTGCCCACATCTCCTGCTGTACAGGAGGCCATGGCATTCCCCAGTCCTCCACCTGTGGCTGGGTTTCCCAAATGTGGCTGTGGCTTTTCTTTCCTTTTGGGTCTTTGCTCATTCTACTTTTCTGATATACTTTCCAAGTTCAACCAAACTCAGGACTTAATTATCCAACACATGCAAAAATCCACCTCCTAACTGAGGTTGAGTTGAAATGTGAGTACTTTTGAAACCAGCTGAGCGGCATATTTCTAACAACGACTCTTGTAATTCACTTCATAGTCGAATATTTTTTCTGTAACTTTTTTTTTTGGCGGGGGTGGGGCGGCGGGTGGGGGTGGAGGGTGGCAAGCACAGAGTCTCTGTCACTCAGCATGGAGTCCAGGCTGGAGTGCAGTGGTGCGATCTCAGCTCACTGCAACCTCCGCCTACTGGGTTCAAGCAATTCTCCTGCCTCAGCCCCCCAAGGAGCTGGGATTACAAGCGCCCACCACCACACCCAGCTAATTTTTTGTCTTTTTAGTAGAGATGGGGTTTCACCAAGTGTTGGTCAGGCTGGTCTTGAACTCCTGACCTCAGGTGATCCACCCACCTTGGCCTCCCAAAGTGCTGGGATTAGAGGCATGAGCCACCTCATCTGACCTTTTTCTGTACACTTTTAAAGATGATCGAAACATTTAAAATAATTGTGTCTAATGGACAGATATAACAATGGGTTTTAATAATATTTTAGTTGAATGGGACAAATTTGTACTGAGTGTTTAAATATCTGTAAAAATGTGTAAATATTTAGAAATATTGATGTTTAATATTGAAAGAATATTAATTGTTTGACAGATTATAAGATGAATGAATTGAGCATTAAAAAATGTATCACCAATAGTGCTGGTCTCTCGGCTGTATCTGATAATTTCAGTTAACAAATAAGGCAAATGCATAGAAAATTGTTGTGGATTTGTCAGAAGATGGAAAGTGGCAGGTAGCTGAGTCTGAATTGGACCCAGCCTCACATGCAAGTGTTGGTATGACAGGTTTCTGAAACCATTTACTGTGGAAAGTTGTTGTGTCAGGGAGATTGACAAATGTTCTATAAGATAGAGTGTAGGGGTCAAGTTAGTTTGGAAATGCTGACTGCTACATCATCTCTTAGGGACACACAAGGCAATTTGGCATATTAAAGATTGTGAGAAGTCCTGTCTGAGCACTGGCCAATAGAAACACAAGGTAAATCACAAGTACCACTAAAATCTCCTCATAACGACACTGATAAAAGTAAAAAGGGAACAGATAAAATCAATTTTAATGGTGTATTTAACCCAGTGCATTCAAAATCTTATCACTTTACTATGTAACCAGTAGGAACACATCAATGAGGCATTTTTGACTCCTTTTTTCACATCAAGACTAAGAAATCCAGTGTCCGTTTTTGCATTTAATGAGCATCTTTTTTTAAAGCAATTTTTTTGTAGAGATGAGCTTTCAGTCTGTTGCTCAGGCTGGCCTTGGCCACCCAAAGAGCTGAGATTACAGGTATGAGCCACTGACCCTGGCCTTATGAGCATCTTAATCCGAACCCGTATGATTCACAAGACACCCTGGCTCAGTGGCTGTGTGTGGCCAGGGTTACGTGTGGGGTGGGACAAGTTTTCTTGAAGAGCTCTGTTCAACACCATTAACCTCCACCATGTCACAGATGCATCTGACTTTAGAAAGCTCCCCCATTCCCAGCACAAATGCATTTTTGATTTGGAACACCTGGTGACACCTCATCTCACCAGACCTGACGATACACGGAGCCCATTTTCGGGAAGGTCACTGCGTGTCAGGGATATGTGTGAAGTGGACACTGCTCTTCCAGTCTGCCTGCTGCCTTCCTGTGTAGCCCTTTTGCTCTTTAAACAATAGCTACTTTGCTAAGAAACTCGGTGCTGTCCAGCCGCCTCCAGGCATCCCGAGGGTCTGGAAATGAGGTCCCTGCTCACCCCAGTTCCTGGCTGTGTGATCACTGTCTACAACAAGATGAATGTCTCGCTGTTCTCATGCTATTTAGTATTTTATTTATTTTTCTCAGACAGAAATGAGTAAGCCCATAAGAGGATGTGCTCACCAGGAAGCGAGGAAGCCACATGCACAGCACACGGAGCTGCTGCTTCCCTAGCTGGGAGGCCTGGTGCAGGGTCTTGCCATAGCCAAGGGCTCTGGGCGGAGGAAGGTGGAGAGATACCACGCTCAGCTCCCTGTGCAGTTCGCAATTCACGAGACACCCTAAACACAACGGTCTCCGGTCTAAATGGAATTAACTCAGTCTCACTCACAAACATCAGGGAGGGAGCCACTTCACAAACAAATCCAGACTATCTGAGAACTGGCTGCTGAATGTCCGAAGAAAGCTGCATGTGATGGGCTTCTCTGGAAATTATCTGAGGTTTCCTTAGTTGAATGGGACAAATTTGTACTGAGTGTTTAAATATCTGTAAAAATGTGTAAATATTTTTATGGTCCTTGAGGTCGACTGAATGCAAGGAGGCTGCACAACCAGCAGATGTGAGGAATGAAGCCGCCGAGGAAACTGATTTCAGTCCTGATGCAGTTTCTAAGACGGTGTGGGGAGGCGGGGAGGGGAATGCTGAATAATAAGATTACTCAGAGCTACTAACGATCTTGATTCAGTAATTTTCTGCTTAAAAAGGCACTTCGACCTTTTCCAAGCCCAGATGTATGCGTCTTAATGGAAGGTCATTCCCATGCACAGCAAATGCAGCCTAGATTTATAAGAGAAACTGATAGATTCCTCAGCCGAGTGAGAGGGATGACACTTCTCCTATTTATTGGGTAAATGATCTATTTTATATGGCACTATATGTACATGCACAAATGCATAAATTACGCAAAACAGTCTCGGCATAGTTAATGAACATGCCTGAAGGCTAATAAAAAAGTGCTTAACTAGTTCTTTTATTTTCTCCTTTATGCATAACAGCATTTTACTTAATAGCATAAATCAAACTGAAGGACCATCTGTATTAAAACTTAAATAACTTTTTGGGGCTGTGTGTAGGCATAAAATAAAGTGTCTAGGGTAGAAAGCATGTTCAGATCGCCCTGAGATGAAAGGCTTACCTGCAATCTGTATTTCTTTTTCAGGATTCCTTCTTACTTAAGATGAGTGTAATATTAAAGAATATTCAATTATTTAGCGGTTTTGCTTTTTCTTCATGGTCAGTGTCTGTGTGGTTTATCAACGCTGTAAACACACATTCACGCTGAGAGATGATGTGAGCGTTAGACACCCAGGGTTGAACTACAGCTGGGCCAGTAACTAGTGGTGCTATCTAGCCGAAGTCCATGAGTGCATCTCAGCATCATCTCTACAATGGGGACGCCAGCGTGGCCACTCTCCATTTGGCAAGAATCCAGTGAGATAGATGCAAACCACCAGCACCAGGCTGACAACTGGTCAACCATGCAAATGCATGCCAGCTGCAAACCATGGTGAGCAGCAATGCAGAACCTGAATTGTATGAGCAAGAAGTTCGAGCGCCTATAGGCTGACTACCATAAGGGCCTCATCGAAAATATTACTTATAACAAATAGCCAGTGAGCACATGAAAAGACATTCAGTATCACTAATCATTAGAAACTTACACATTGAAACTACTGGGAGATAGATACTACTTCTCACGTATTAGGCTATAGAATTAGGTTGGCTACTATTTAAAAAAAAAAAACCACCACCACCAAAACAACAAGTGGTGGTGAGGATTCAGAGAAATTGGAATCATGTTGAGAAATGGGTGCGTTATTGGTGGGAATGTGAAACGGTGCAGCCTCTGTGTCAAAGGGCAGTTAAAAAACTCAGTGTAGAATTACTGGATGATCCAGTCATCCCACTTCTGGGTAGGTACCCAACAGCACAGAAAGCAGGGTCAGGAACGGACTTTTGTGCACCTATGTTCATAGCAGCGTTATTCACGATAGCCAAAAGCTGGAACCAACTCAAGGTCCCATGGTTGCCAGGGGCTGCAGTGGCGGAAATGGGGAGTTAGCGTTTAATGGGGACAGAGTTTCAATTTGGGATGATGCAAAAGTAATGGAGCCGGATGGTGGTTATGTTTGCAAAACAGTGTGAATACACTTAATGCCACTTAACTGTACATCTAGCGGTGGTTAAGACTGTACCTTTTATGTTGTATATATTTTGCCACAATTTAACAACAATGTAAAGTATGGTGAAGTTTTTTCGTGTTTCAAAATACTGAGTAGTGGAAAGCTTTTGTGTTTTCTCCGTGGCAGCCTCCTTCTTCATTCACATGTTTATTCATTCATTCTTCTGGTCATAAAGACTGTCCTGAGCTCCTGTCATGCGGCAGATACTACAACAGATGTGAGGTCCAGAAATAAACGCAGTGCAGAGTCTGATCTTCCCAGTCTAGAGTCTAGAAACGAAAATAATCCCAGGAATAGATTAGTGCAGGATCACACGGCCAGTGCAATTCATAGAAGGGGCGTTTGTAAGATACTGAAAAGGTAAAAACAGAGAAACACAGGGATGAGAATAGAAAAAGTGACAGAAGAAAGAGAAATACATTTTATGTAAACTCAATAGGTGACCATAGGCATCCATTTTTTTCCTGCTATAAAAAATAACTGGATTTATGTTATCACTTCTGCCATTTGATTTAAATTTTCTAATAATAAAGGTTCCCTAGATTGCTAAGGATACTAAAGGTGGTGTAACCTACTCCTTACAGTGTTTTGCACATGGGGAAACTGAGGCCCATAAAGTCAAAAGGCAGAGTAAATGTTCACACAATTAAATTAGTGACAGACATGTGTCTATAATCCAGGTTTTCAGAAACTGACAATTTCCTTATGTTACAGGGCTTTTTCCAAGCTGGCCAGACACCTGTTCCCAGTGACCCAATACTTACTGATATGTGATCTCATATTTATGGAGTGCTATCAATGAGCTTTTCAAATTATAGTTATGTCATTAAGACCTGCTTTTTATTAGGGGGTTAGGCACATTTTCTTACTTCTGAAAGGGCAAAGGACTTCATTCTGGTTAGGAAAAGACAGGCAAGGTCTGCGCTCCTGACATGAAGTTCAGACCCACTTACTGGCATGTAAATCTGCCCATTTGTTCATTATGCATCCATTTAACAAGCAGTCAACCCATACGTTGTTGACTATTAAATGCAGCTGGGATGTAGTAATGAAAGGGATGGGCGTAATTTTGCCCTTAATAACCTTACAATCTGGTGAAAGTAAATTCTACCTTTCTAATTGGCTACTTGAACATAGGAATTGGAAGAGGAAGCAAGCCAGCTGCCATCAGGAAAACAACAAATGTGCCCAGAGAGAGTTAATGCATTTATAAAAACCAAAATCACACACACACACACACACACACACACACACACAAACCCCAAATCTACTCACAAGTGCTGCCATGACGCCTAGGAACAGAAACAGGATTTGGAAAGAGCTTTTAAAGGATTCATTATGAAAAAAATATATTTAAAAGAAATTTTGTTCAATATTACTAATTGTACTTTATCTTATAACACTTATGGGGAGCACTTGGAAACTGTTGGCTTTAGGGCAAGCACAGTGGCT